>NC_000009.12:103675097-103826612 GCF_000001405.40 Homo sapiens | reverse complement strand
TTATTTTTTTCTCCCATATGGATAATGGTTTTGTGCCTTAATTATTTAAAAGCTAGCAAACATCTTTGGAATACATATGCTGACTTGAAATAGGAGTACATACTTTAGTAAACCCTTTCTTATTAAAACTTCTAATTAAAAGCTACACATTCTGCATGTTACCCTCTAAAAGGAAAATGTAACCCATTCATTTAATGCAACTGATTTATTGAAAAGTGCCAGGTGGTTGGTGGAGCAGGGCCATGTGGCTTTTTGGATTGCTTCTGACCCAGGCGCTGGACCTCATGCACTTGGAGTTCCTGTTTTCTTAGTTTTCTTTCAGTCAGAGTAAGGTCAGTTTTCTTATGACCAATGTTTCCACAGCAAGATCAATGAAAACATGGCAAGACATTTACCTGACAGAATTACATGGAGCTTAGGTAGGAAGAGTTGTATTATCAAATTCTGCACCTTTGAATCCCAGCTGCATCCACAAATGTAATTCTATCATTGTCTCTACACTTTTACACATGGTCAGGATTTATGGACAACAGAGGAGTGTTTTCTCACTATGTGTTTTAGCATCAGGAATTTTGAGAGATCAAAGTTTCATTCATCCCACTTTTTTTCTTTCTTTGACTAGGTTTGTTTCCCTTCCAACCCAAGGAAAATGATATTGGCCCAAAAATATAGAGTAGATTCCACGAGGGCTACTGCCATGATTGTTGAGCCTGCCAGAGTACTGTTGAGTAGCATAGCTCAGAAGCAATCTACATTGCCTGTGACAGTCTGTCTATAATTTCAGAGAACGTTCTTGGAAAGTTAATCAAAATATCTAAGCCTGAGATTTCTCACCTATTATTAGGTAATGAGAATCAATTGCCTTGCGTACCAAAAGACCATGAAGTTCAAAATGAAATAACTTATGTGAAATTATTTTGAAAATCTTTAGGACAATTTGAGGCCAGTGATAATATTAGATGATTTGGGGATGAGTAAACTATTAAATAACATTAATAAGTAGAATTCTTTTAAGCCCTTTACGTCAATGCACTTTATCTTTGACCATGGTAGCTACTCCACTGGATTGTAGTCTCTCTCTAATATCTTGTGAATTTATTTTACCTGCTTGCCTGCTGAAAGCATTTGAATTAACATCCCCTGATGCAGGCTTTAAAGAGGAATTACCATTACAATATAGAACCTAAGATACACTTCTCAAAAAGCAAGTTTACAGTTTATGCAAATTATTTCTATGTAATCAGAAGTTCTATTATCAGATTGTATGCTATTTAATGTTTCATATAATGGCAAATGCTCAGTTTTATTTTGTGTTTTCCATAAAAAAACACTAAAGATATCAAAAGATACTGTATAAGATTTGGGCATCATAATGATCTTGAGAAAGAATTCTAATCACTCCTTTAATATGTTGAAGTCTCAGTTTAATAAAATTTTCATAAGATAATTTTGTTTCCTGGCAGAAGGGACTTGTAAAATCTATAGTGTGAACTATAATATTTACAGAATTATTGGTGCTTGATGTAGGATCTCAGGATCAAAAACATTTAAAAGTTGCTCTTTGAGATTTTCTTTTTGCTATAAGGAAGCAAGCTCTGTATTCCCCAAAGATGCAGCAGCTATCTGCGTGGAAAGAAATCTGCCTGAAGTTTTATGTGTGTTGGGAACAGGCCCCCCAAAATATGGCCACGAATTGGCCCCATCACTGGCCATAAACAAAATCTCTGCAGCACTGTGACATGTTCGTGATGGCCATGACGCCCACACTGGAAGGTTGTGGGTTTACCGGAATGAGGGCAAGGGACACCTGGCCCACCCAGGGCGGAAAACCACTTAAAGGCATCCTTAAACCACAAACAATAGCACCAGTGATCTGTGCCTTAAGGACATGCTCCTGCTGCAGATAACTAGCCCAACCCATCCCTTTGTTTCCCATAAGGAATACTTTTAGTTAATCTATAGAAACAATGCTTATCACGGGCTTGCTGTCAATAAATATGTGGGTAAATCTCTGTTCAAGGCTCTCAGCTCTGAAGGCTGTGAGACCCCCGATTTTCCACTCCACACCTCTATATTTCTGTGTGTGTGTGTCTTTAATTCCTCTAGTGCTGCTGGGTTAGGGTCTCCCCGACTGAGCTGGTCTCGGCATGTGTGTGTGTGTGTGTGTGTGTGTGTGTGTGTGTGTATTATATATATGCATATTAGATAGATATGTACTCATTTGAATAAATTCCTATACACATATGGTTTGTAATTTGTGTTTTACATATATATGAGGAAGGAGAAATTTAATTTTGTGTTTCTATGTGGAGTTATTGCACCAGAATAAAATTTGTTTTATTAAATTGATTTGCAAGTAGCTACTATTAGATATTGCTACTTAAATCAAATTTGGTTATTAATAACACTAGATTATTTTCCTCAAAGTTTTTCTTCATAACATTTTCAATAAATATTTACCCCTATTTTATTTTGGTTTTGGATGAAACCATATAAACATGCTTAAATTATACTAAACGACTGTGAATTTCACAATGCAATTATTTTGCAAATATTAACTGATTTGGGGCATCTTAGCATTACTCTTCACACATACGCTGTGTGGCCTGCCAAAAATATGTCAGTTAAAGAGGAAACTCTAAAGTTCCTTCCAGTTAATGCATTCTAGAATTCTTTCAGTCTGTTATCTCCTTTTTGGCAAGTAAGTCTTAATTTAGGTGTTTCATCTCTCTCTGGATTTATAGCCATTTTTCCCAAATAACTGCATGACTGTTTGCTTTGGGGCTTTTATGACAGAGAATCTAAACCTAATGATTATAAAAATAAAATTTTTATGCTGTTGCTTATTTTTATGTCTTAAAAGCTGCTTATTTTTAGGACATACATTGTTTTAATGTATTTATTCATCCAATTGAATTAATGTTCATAATTCTGAATCTATTCAGTTTGATCCCAGTGTCATTATCCTGATTTCCTTTGGCGATAATTTAGAAATTTAAACCTCCAGGCCTCATGTTGAAATCTGATTTCTACTGTCGGAGATGGAGCACAATGGGAGGTGTCTGGCTCGGGGGTTGGATGCCTCATCACTGGCGTGGTACCTTTCTCGAGGTACTGAGTGAGTTCTCCACCTAATAGTTGCTACCAGAGCTGGTTATTAGAAAGAGCCTGGCACCTCTGTCCCTTATCTCTTGCTTCCATTCTCTCACCAAGTGGTATCTAACACTGGCTTCCCTTCACTTCCTGCCATGAATGGATAGCCTGAGGCCCTCATCAGAAGCAGATGTAGGTGCCATGCTTCTTGTACAGCTTCCAGAACAATGAGCCAAATAAACCATTTTTCTTTCTAAATTACCCAGTCTCAGGTATTCCTTTATAGCAAGACAACCAGAATAAGACACCTATATAATTAGATTTTTAAAATTCAGACAATGGTTGCTTGTTTGTCTTGCTTCCAACATTTTATCCCTTCAGGGAGAAAATAATGTAAAATAGTCACTGAGAAGAATATACAATAAAGCAGTCATTTCTTTTAGATTTATAATTTTCTAATAAACTATGGGGTTTTCACTGTATACTATTATTGATCCTAATGGAATACCTTCTGACTCCAAGATTTGATAAAAATACAATTTAAGTCTTCCCATCTATACAACAAACAAAATGTGTTATATATTTTAATTTTGGGGAGAGACTGTTCAGAAGAAAAATGGTGGAATCTTACAGCACTTGACCCTGAGTGGAAGGCTGCCACCCCTGGACCTATGAGGATATTATATTGTATTTACAGGGTTAATAATCTTTTCACGAAGAACTATCTCAAAGATAGGCATCCTTCCCTTTATTAATGAATTCCAGATAGGCACTATTCTATCAAGAAGTCAGCCTGAACGTGGAAAAACAATATCACACATGCACCCCGTCAATATAGGTTGAGATTGTCAAGATGCCTGGAAAATAATCACACTTTAGATTTAACAGAAAAATTTTGAATTATTTGTCAGTATCATATAGACACCACATGAACCTGACCTGATAAAGCAGTTTTCTTTTTACCCTTGACAATTTCAGCACATTAAAGTTAATAATGCAAATGTGTAACAAGTGAAATGTCAGCTCATCTCGCCTGACTCTGTTTCTTTAGTCACTGTAGTCTGGCTGACAACTTGGGGACAACATTTTTTTTCCAACTGAAAAACTTAAAGAGATTATTAAAGTTCATTTTTTCAAGAAACTGAACTTTAGCATTTTCCTTTTTCATTACTAATGTATTAAGAATCTGTTTTGAACTTTGTGTTTTTCAAACATATCTCATTTATCCTCTTATGAGGATAATTATTCTTTCTGACCTTTAAAACTTGTACTTTCCAATACACTTTGTTGTTTAAAGAAAATGATTCTTATTAAGGAATTCATCCAGTACAGCAAATAAACTTCCATATTTCCTTTTCCAGGAAATAGTTTTATTTAAAAGTTTTTCTTAAACAAACATTTCCTCAACAGTGTTGCTCTGTCGCCCACGATGGAGTACAGTGGTGCAATTTCAGTCACTGCAACTTCAACGTTCCAGGCTCAAGCAATCCTCCCACCTCAACCCAGTAGCTGGGCCTACAGGCATGCACCACCATGCTCAGCTAATTTGTGTATTATTATTATTTTTTTAAGAGATGGGGTTTCTCCATGGTGCCCAGGCTGGTCTCAAAATCCTGGCCTCAAGCAATTCACCTTGGCCTCCAAAGTGCTAAGATCACAGGTGTGAGCCAAGGCCCCAGGTAAACTTTCAATGCAACTTTCTAATTACATTAATTGTTACCAAGATTGGCCATCCAAATAACAGTGGGAAGAAAAACGGGCTTTAGTATTTAGCAGAGACATACCGGCTGCCAATTTTAATAGTTCTAAGTTTTGGAGCAGAGGATGCAAATTTCTGCTAAACTTTTTTATGAGCTCAAGTCTGTAGGTTAAGTGGTAAGTATTTTTATTCTTAAGTCATTGGGCAGTATCAGGATAATATTACAAAAATAACCAGGAATAAGGGGATTCACACAGGGAATCAACCTCAAAGATAAAGGCTGTTTTGGAGTATTGTTTTACAGGAAATCTTGACTCCTGGTTGTTTAAATAAATGGAATATTTATAAGCTTTAAACACATTTAGTCAGCATTTACTAGAAAAAATGTGGGTATTAGTTCCAGGTCCAGATTTTGTTCTTTTTTAAGGAAAAGGGATCAACATGTTGAGTAAATGCATCACAACTGTGATAGACATATCCAGGGAGGTCATGAATAGTGCTAACCCTCAGGCACTCCCTCTGGGTGAGTTTCGCTAACTTTTAGATATGAATAATTGTTGATGACTAGTGAACACTTGTAAAGCATCCAGGATTTATCTTTGCCAAACCTTTTCACACAGTATACCATATATACTAATTAGGGACACTTGAATGTGTGTAGCTTTTTCTTATTTTTAATGATCTGCATAAATATATATAATCTCTTTTCTATAGAGAATTCAATGTAATTTTAAAACTTTTACACAATATATTTCCTATTTTCACATTCTGTCTTTGCATACTAAGAAGATTGTGTTTAAACAAATATTCATTATTCTCTGGTTATTACCTTACTGACCCAACAAATATTTTCATGATGGATGTATTAAAATATCAGAGTTCTTTCCATATATCTTTCCATATCCAAATATTACTGGGGGAAACATTACATTAGATTGCACACAGCTCATCACCATACTTAATATTATATTTCAGTCATCTTAAAAATATATATATTTCCTTGCACAACTAGTAAGCTTGAATATATTTCATTTTTCAGTCCTCTGCCAAACTATACTCTGCATTACAATTAATTTAAGAAACGTGAGCAGTCAGTTAAAATGTAAACTTCAGATTTCTTTTTTGTGAGACCCCTGAATCTTTATATAGCACTCAGGCATATCCAGATAAAGTAAAAAGATCTAAAAGGAACAAAAAAAATGCACAAACTGTCTGGAAAAGCTGGGGAAAAGTTCTTGCAAATTGAGTCAACATAAAATTTGGACTAATATTGGAAACAGAAGCTAGTACCTGGGAGCAGAGGCAGCAAATTTGGAAGCATTGGGAGTCCCTTATGGAATAGAGAGAATAAAACGAGAAAAAATATAAAACTTTTGATCTGTAACAGTATCTTTATGTAATACAAAGAGTACTGAGAGTTTAGCTCAAGATGGCTTACCCAAAATCTTCGTCTCTTACTAAGTCATAATCATTTTGCATTAAAGTACACATTTACATACATGTAGATAGCCATATTTGAAATCCAGAAATGAAAAGCATTATATAACTGAAACAGAAAACTCAGAGTAATAAATGGGAACTGAAAGTGCACAACCCACAGGGAACTGGGAAAAGATACAGCAGGCCTTTGGGCTTGAGGTCTTGAAATAAATATAGGGCAGGGCCTTAAGCCAAGAATCATATTTGGATTGAAAATAAAGCTGTGTTCCTATTTGGAAGCATAAAACAAAATTGCTCTGAGTGGAGTCCAAGTTATTTCTTTCTATCCACCTGGATAAATGCCGGAGACAAATTACCTACTGTGGTAAGGGCAGAAGTAGATTTACCTCTATGAGATCAGAAAAAGCCTAAGCATAACTGCACCATTTCATCCAAGGGAGAATCTGGAGCAAAGAGAATTATTCAAATCACAGCTTCCTTTGGGACCATGGTAAGGGCAACCACTAAACCTATTTCCTATTGAGATGTCTGTTATTCTGTGTGTGTGTGTGTGTGGTGGTGTGTGTGTGCGTGTGTGTGTGTCTGTGATGTTCTGTTGACCATTTTTATATTGAGTTGTTCATCTCTATTATTTTATAAGCCTTCTTTAATAAAAGATAGGGGGGCATTGAACTGTCATAATGTTTGCACTTCCCCGCCCGGCCCCCCCGATGCTTCATTTTGCTTTTTGCTGCTTCTGGAAAAATCTTGTCTACTTTCATAATTCTGTCATTATTTTTTATGTAAACTTCTAGAACTCAGTCTTCCTCGAACAGTAAAATAATTCCTAAAATTATTTCTAACTTCTTTTCTTGCGCTATTAAAAGAGATTGTCTTGTTGCTTAGAGATAAAACTGACACAACTGTTATTACCACCTTTGTGTTTGAGGATGTGGACCCAGTCCTTGTATCAATCTGCTCAGATACTCTCAAATTCTATATTCTACAGTAACAAAGGGTCTTCAAGTAAAATAATTTATATATTTTACGTATCCTATTCTCATCTACAACCTCACATGTCCAAAACTGTAGAATTACCCCTGAAGTACAGAATCCCCTTTATTGCAGAGAGGTCATGATTCTTTCATAGAAAGTGAATAGAAAGCTGCCTGCTAGGTTATTTCCTAAAATGACACAGTCCATATTATATACAGCAAACATTCTTCACATTTTCTAGAATTTGGAAACTTTTGCTAGCTTCCAATGGTAAGGTAAATTTTTTTCCTTATTTTTACATTTCCATGCTAATTTCTATTATAATTAATGAGGATCAGGTTAGGGGGAGGTGAGAAGACTGCAACACCTATAATGATTTGATATCTTTATTTTGAATAATTTATATTCCATAAAGCCATATTTACTAAACTTACTATTTATAGAATTGATGAGTATCTAAGAAAGTAAGTAGGAGAATCAATTTAAAACTACTAACCATGTTCATGCCTTTAAAAACATTTTAAAATATTTTCCATATTAAAATGGAAAATATTGAAGTTGACATTACTTCCCATAGGTCCTTGTTTGCATTTTGAATGTCCACTAGGAATTTTATAGAAGGTTAAAACTATCTGAATTTAAAAACACTTGGTTATACTCATTAAAAATTGCACTTAGGATCGACAATATTATTCTTCACATTATTTGCTTCCCCTTTCTTAAGCAGTGGTTATACATCCCTGTCCCATTGATGGCAAGTTTGACCATGTGACCTGCTGAGCTCTGCGTGGAAAGAAGATGACATGTCCTCTCCTCCACCTTCACATCAGGCTTGGCTATGTGATACACTATCGATAGTGCATTGTGAATACAAGTGACATAAGCAAAACTTAAGAACCAGCTTGGGATTCATTATTTATTTTCTCCTTCTGCTGTAAGACTGGTAATGCTTCCAGATAGAGGTTGCTACAGCAAGCTGGGTCCTAAGATGAAGATGATACAGAGAAAAGCTGCAGCCAACTCAAGAAAGATGGGTAGGCATGTGAGAAATAAACACGTTTTTATCCAACTCTCACACTCCACATAATTAGTTATCATAACGTAACCTAGGCTAAGCTAACAGATACAGTCCTCAAAAAAAGTTTCATCATTTAAACTCCCAAAAGCTAGGTATAGGTGTGATGATGATGATGATTTTTTTTTTTTTTTTCTCAACTTAGCTAGGCTATGGTGACCAGTTGTTTGGTCAAACAGTAGTCTAGCTGTTGTAATGTTGCTGTGAAGGTCTTTCATAGATGTGTTTAACATCTACAAAATCCTGTTCTAAATTGAATCAAAGAAATGTAGATGTTAAATATAGAAAAATACACTAGGAACTATTGAGATAAACTCAGAGCAAA
The DNA here is from genome assembly GCF_000001405.40 of Homo sapiens. Taxonomy (NCBI): domain Eukaryota; kingdom Metazoa; phylum Chordata; class Mammalia; order Primates; family Hominidae; genus Homo; species Homo sapiens. Next base: position 103,818,005 of record NC_000009.12, on the reverse strand, counting down.
TGGGTTAGGAAACGCATTAAACTTTCGCATTTGAAAATAGCATTTTCAATACTATAATTTTTCTTCTAGAGCATGAAGAAATACAGAAAACTATCTAATGGTTTTATAATAATAATGTAAACCTGATACAAGAATCCTGAAAATAAACTTCAATATTAAACTATAGATGGTTGTCAAGTATAATAGGAAATGGGAAAATCCTAAATAAGCCAATAAGAAATCATGACCCAAAAAGTCTCAAAACACTTCACATAGCAGTGTCAGCTTAAATATTAGGAAAATATCTTTCTTAGACTATCTTTTCGATTTATAATGTTCTAGAAAATTTTCACTATGTTTTATCCTTGTCTATATGTTGACCTTGGTTTCCCAACACACTGATTCAGTGACATTAAATGAGGCCTGTGATAATGGTTCTTTACAGTGAGATGAACATACATTAATGTCACATAGAATTCTCTATCTTGAGGCAGGAAAACAAAAACATGTTTGGCAGACCACTGTACTAATTTGTTCTGCATATGTACATCTTAGGTTTCTGCGTGAATTAACTAACCTTTCTCAACTCTCCAGGAACAATTCTTGTAGATTTACACAGAAAACAAGTTTTGCCCATCTGTTTCAGTGACTCTCACAGGACTTTCAACACAGAGTAGCATACATTATAAAACAATTTAACTTCTTCTGTCTCCTAGATGTAAACCTGACCATCAGTGAATAAAATATAAACAGTGCTGACAAGGTCAACGTGCCAAGTTACTTAACATACATATTTAAAAGAGTATTTCTTACCTTCAGAATTAAATGGTAATTCATGATGATGATGATGATGATGATATCTTGAGAATTACATTTAATATTTATTTAGAGCTTACTAAATGCCTGGTACTGCTTTACATACATTAACCATTTAACCTGCAAAATGACCCTATCTATATGGAAGTGCTGTTGTTACCCTCACTTTATAAATGAAGAAACAGGCACAAAGATGTTAGAAATGTTAGACAACTTATCATCATTATATAGATTTGATCGTGAATGTCCACTAGTTTCTATGTTAGATTTCGATTGCCCTTGCAAGCAGGAATAAGAAATTTCTTTTTATATGTGATAAAAATAGTAAGATAGTAAATACATGCAAGATATTACATATAAGCATACAAACACAAACACATCTATACATAATATTTTAATTTTATATTTATTTTTACTATATACATATGCACACACAGACGCACATATATGTATTTACTGTTGCTTTCTTCCTTTACAATCCTTACTTCACAGATCACATTGCATAAGAACACTATATTTCACTAAAATTGAAGGATTTGAAGGCAGAATAATAACCCATGCATCTAATACAGTATGGTATTTAGGTTGTTATTCTGCACTTTTAAAATATTTTCCCTTTTGTTTTCTGAAGAAAAATGAGTGAAGTATGTACAGTTCCCATGTTAGAAGAATGTCACAGTATTTAGAGACTATGGTCCCTGCTCTCTGAGTATTCTGTTCATCATTCTATTTTGTTTCCGAGACACTTAGCTGTGGATTTTCGTATTTGAAGAAAACAGATGTAAGAGACAGATATATTTACAGAAACAGGCTGAACAAACTCAGCATGAGACTCTACAGAAGCTTACGTATCCATTTACTTTCATCTTGACACAGGTGCAGCATTACACATGGCTAGTTATAGACACCACATTTCCTGACACCAGAATCATTACTAATGATCTGACATAAAAGTGTTTCAGAGTTTTAAAATTCTAAGTTTCATGTAGTCATTTAAAACTCATGCTTAGTAACATTTTTAATAAGTACAACTTATTTAATACGTAATCTTCATTAAAATATATAATGTTACATGAAACTGAGAGAACAAGTAAAAATATGCAACATAAAAATAAAGGGCTTTGATAAGTACACAATGCTCCTTTCTTCTATCCCATCTTGAATAACTTCATTTTCAGATGGTTGAATGTTTCATTATTCATACTATTTATGTAAGAGTCTTCCTAATATTTTAGGGCTTGAAGAAACCATTAACAGATCTGGAGTCTAGAAGTTCATTTCACAGATATTTGAGAAAAATCACAGGGAGAATGAATGACTTTCCAAAGCCCTAATGTAGACTCTATTGGAGAACAACCAGGTCTAGAATTCAAATGCCTGACTCTTGCTCCTTTTGGATTATGCTACTCATTCATAAGCACTGTAACCTGAGATGAACAACTTAGCGTTTTGGATCCTTAGTTCCATGAGCTGTAAAATGGGGAGAATAATCATTATGTCATAGTGTAACTAAAAATTCAATGATCTTACTGACCAGAGACTCAAAACTTCAACCATTATCATGAATGCAGGTAACAAACTGAGAAAGTAATAATACAAGTTAGATGTTGAAATACATTTTCAGTCTTACATGGAGGAGCTCAGACGCCTGGGAAGCAGATTAAGGATAATGCTAGGAGACAGCTGAGAAGATAAACTACCCACAGTTCTATTCCAGATGATCCTGAGATCCCAATTTTCCACTTTCTCACGTTGCTCGGAATTTTTATTACATTTTTAAAAATAGACATAATTATCTCTTTAAAGATAATTTAACAATGAGGTTTATCATTTCATACTAATAGTTTTGTAAACATATAAGTTGCGAAGGTGAGTGGCTACAATGGGAAATTTAATAAACATAATGCTAAAACTTAGATTGATTTTTTAAAAATCTAATGTATCACATCAATTGAAAGTGTACAAACAATTTGCTATATTAAAAGCCTTAGAAATACATATTAACAGAATGCTGAACTATGTAAACGCAGTGTAGCAATACACTTTCAACACCCATGACATGGAATTTTGCAAATTTTCAAAGCAGACATAGCAAACTATAAAAACATTTGAGGACAAGAATGCAGCAAACAGAGGAAATAAACACTATTTAGACCTATTTCTCATATGGCTATTTGTATAAGGCCATATAAATCACCTTTAAAGTTGACAGAGGTACATGAAATTAATAGGGTGAGCACAGATAAAGCTAGATATGTTATACATTGAGCTTAGGTCTTCCATATTTTATACGGTACATTCATTTTACATAAACTGACACCATACTTGGTTTTCTTTGTATTCCAAATGAGCTTGTCAGTAACAACCCAAAGATATTTCTGCCTACAAATAGGAAATAATTAATTGTCTCAAGGTAATCTCAATGAGCAATAGTGTATTCCTTAATCAGTCAGTGGATTAGTCCTTGATGATCTTCATTTTTTGCCATCCTTGGTATTTCACGGAGAAGTGTATTTCATAATATACTTTTGCGTAGTCATTCTGTTTCCAAATAATATGTTATAAGAGCTCAAGGTCATAGGTGAGGATTATGGGACAAGTGTAATAAGACTACCCCTCTCTGTTTGAGACAGAGGCTTTCTTCTATGAGAAACAAGTTTCTCTGTAATTTTCATTTTTGTCTACTTGGTTTAGTTATTTTTCTTTAATAATAGCAGAAGGAGCCATTTTTAACTTAGAATAAAATGACTACAAAATCAGATTATGCTGATTAATATAACTATGAAATATAAAAACAGTAAGCATGAAATACATTATATAAAATTTAATATATAAATATATTTGTAATGAATTCATATGGTGAGAATTTTCCAATGTAGTAATAACTTCCAATCCTATTTTGATAAGAAATAAGAGAAATTGGGCTGGGCACGGTGGCTCACACCTGTAATCTCAGTACTTTGGAAGGCCGAGGCAGGTGGATAACTTGAGGTCAGGAGGTGGACGCCAGCCTGGCCAAAATGGTGAAACCCCGTCTCTACTAAAAATACAAAACTTAGCCTGGTGTGGTGGCAGGTGCCTGTAGTTCCAGCTACTTGGGAGGCTGAGGCAGGAGAATCACCTGAATCTGGGAGGCGGATGTTGCAGTGGGCCGCGATCGTGCTACTGCACTCCAGCACTCCAGCCTGGACGACAAAACAAGACTCCATCTTACAAAAACAAAACAAAACAAAAATTAGAAAAATTTGGGGGCAAATGTAATTGATGTTTTTTTTTAAATTCTGCATTTACTGTTATGATTCTTGACTCTGCATTATACTGATACTCGTTTCTTTTTTTTTTTTTTTTTGAGACGGAGTCTCGCTCTGTCGCCCAGGCTAGAGTGCAGTGGTGCCATCTAGGCTCACTGCCAGCTCTGCCTCCCAGGTTCACGCCATTCTCCTGCCTCAGCCTTCGAGGCCAAGGCGGGTGGATCACGAGGTCAAGAGATAAAGACCATCCTGGCTAACACGGTGAAACCCCGTCTCTGCTAAAATTACAAAAAATTAGCCGGGCATGGTGGCGGGCGGCTGTAGTCCCAGATGCTGATACTCTTTTATATAACATAGTGATGGTTATTTTAAATCACTTCCATTATTTGTACCAGAATAGCTTCTTATTTTGATGAAGACTGATATACTAAGGCAGATTAATCTCAGGGTTTCTAGCAACTATTTTTCAAATATCAGACTTTAGTTAGGCACACAACATTTAGTGCACGTCTGTAACTTGCGCTACTCTTGTATCTAGCAGACTACTATTAAGTCCTTGTAATACAGAACCTATTCATGCTTAGTCACTGCATATTTCATGTAGTTCCCTAATACATTGGCCAGGGGTCTTTCTTGCATGCCTTATGGTAGGATGGTAGGTGGGATTATATTGACTGCCTTGGAAATTTGCACTATGATATCAACTAGGTGTGTTTAATCTTAAAAAATCTTCTCTGCCTTGTAGAAATTATTACTTCACCAATGTAAATTTTAACTCAGTACTATCAGACCTCTCTTCCACGGTATTTGTGCTTTGCTCTTCAACTTAGTCAAGTCCTTAGATATCTTTTTTTCCACTTCAGAAATTGCTGTGTCTAATGTGCTATTTAAATCTTTCATTGAATTTATAATTTCGATAAATATAAAGCATTTAGTTTTAGATATTCTATTGTCTTCTTTCGCACATTTTCCTGTTCATTTTTGTTACATCAATTGCTTTATCTAAACTTTAAAATATTTAATAGTCTATTTCATATTTTCTTTTAATTTAGTTTTTCTAGAGACACAAATCCTTCTACTTATAATGTCTGCGAATCTCCTTTAGAATGGATTATTTCCCTTTTTAGTGTGCCCCTCATTAACAAATTATTAGCTAGAAAATAGTTTTACATTTTTCTTCTTGCTGAATTCCCTACGTCTTGCAATGATTCAAGAATTGTTTTTATGTAAGTTCTTGTTTGGGGTCTGGACGTATATAGTTAATCTAAATAGGATCATGAAACCTGTTCTTGAGTGCATACTATTTTTAACTCTGAACTGAACCCTTTCAAGGTAGAGATATATTTCCTTCTCTTTGTTTCTGGATTGTGGGTTTCTGGATTGTTGCTTTAGTTTTGTCAGTGAATACACAGATCTTTTACGGTTCTGTATGTATATAAGATCCTCAGTCATAGCTCTTTGCCTCAAATGGGTCCATGGCCACATTTGTTGTCTCCAGATATGTGTTGAAGCCTCATGTATTTCTAAGGCCCTCATCTAACAAAATTCCCCGTGAGTTGTTACAGCATCACCTTGGGTTTCATTTTCATTTTGGTAGCAATAATAACAAAAATATACATACTAAGTCTAAAAAAGGAAAGATAAAAAATAAAATGTTTTCTTTCTCTTTTAAAAACTCAGTTATATATTTCTCTGTATTTTTATTGTTGTATTTCTATTCTATCTAATGGTTCCTTGTGTTCAAGAGGGAAGAAGTCTATGTTAGTTTAATCAGCCATGTTGCTTGATCTAAAAGTCAATAGAAATGCTTCCAATGGACAGAGGCTTTTATCATAATCAGCCAGGGATGGAAATAAATAAGGTGGGTGGGAGTTCATATAGAGAACTTAGACACAAAAAAATTAAGAGATACTTAACCTAATATTTAGAAAGCTCTTTCTGCATATATTCTTTCCCAAATCAGTCAGACTGCACTAGTGGCATTGTACTTCCTAACCACAATCAATATTACCTAAAAAAGAATAGACAGCTTTTCTAATATTTTAGGAAACCTCACAAAAGGGAGTTCAAGATAACAATAGGTCTTTCTAACCGTAACTCTGCTTATCAGTGGATTTTGGAAATCCTTATTGTTTGTTGTGGCCTGAAACATGAAATATACATGTAGACATGCTTTACATCTGCATTCAAGGTCATGTTTTTCTGTCTTATTTTTTTGTACCTAATTTCTCTTTATTGTATGATGTCACTGACTACCCTATTCAGCACACTGTTGAATAGAAATAGTCATTCCTTTGTTTAAAGTACTTCAGTTGCACTTCATTGTCCAGGGCATGTGAGACAGTATATAGCATAAGAGTTTAGCTGCAGTTTTAATAATAGCAGAGCCACTTACTGGCCATGTGAACCTAAGCATTTAATATGGTAACTTAAATTCTCCTTGCCAGGAGGGATGAAAATAATGAAATGTATCTTTTAATAAACTGGGATAGGGAGTGCTTAATAGATCCAAATAAGGAGAAGAACAAGCAGAAACCTTAGTTGTTTGAATGCGTAGAGGGACTAGGGAAGAAGCATTAGTTATTTACTAATATGAAACAAATCACCTCAAAACTTGGTGCTTTAAAAAAACAACGATAACAAAAGAATGCTCTGAGGATCAAGTCTGAAAAGGTATGAGAGAAGTAGAATTGGGCAGAGGTTGCGCTGTGATGCCATTGCATCAGAGGCCTCAGATAATCCTATAGGAAATTGCAAAGGCCAGTGATTGATGCAAAGGGCCAGGTCTTTTCACCCGCCTACTCCACACCGATCTGCCCCAGGAAGAGGATTGTTAATTTAAACAAGGTAAGTTCCCTTTGGTTAAGGGCAATTCTCAAATTTGGTATCAGCTATGAGCTGCTGGTTGCCAATACTCCCAGCAGTTAGGTGAGTAATAGTCTTAGTCCTGAAGGGTATATCTGGTTGCTACACCACAGCATCCACTATGCCTTCCCTGCCTTCACTGCTGGTTGTCCTCACTGCTACACTCTCACCAGTGCCATGTCAGTTTACAAATGCCATGACAATTTGAAGAACTTACCCTATATGGTCTAAAAAGTGCATGAATAATGCACTCTTTGCATGTGATCAGGAAATATCCATAAAAATGGGCAACCAGTGGCCCATACCGCTGCTCTGCCTATGGAGTAGCCATTCTTTTATTCCTTTACTTTCCTAATAAACTTGCCTTCACTTTGCTATATGGACTCTCTTCAAATTCTTTCTTGCATGAGATCCAAGAACCCTCTCTTGGAGTCTGGATCAGGACCCTTTTCCAGTAACAATAACACTGTGTATTTCCCCTTAATAGAACTCTCAGACTATTTATATTTGTTTGGATTTTTTTTTAATCATAAGCTCTCAGGACTATTCCAAGCATCTACATCAGATAAATATTGCTTGAAGAAAAGAGTGGATGAATGAAGAAGTCTTGGAGCTGAAACTATGAGATAAATAGGAGTTTGTCAGGTAAGCAAGAAAGGAACAACATGCCAGGCAGAGGGGACAGCAAGGAGGCTCAGAGACATGAAAGCAAGACGTATTCAGAAAACTCTAAATAAAATAGGTCAGTGTGGTTGTGATAATATGAGAAATGAAGAAATAGAAGGTAACAAAACAAGGTCTAAGAGCTGGGCAAGGTCAGAACATGAATGGCCTTGTAAACTGAATAAAAGGACTTAACAGTTATTCTGTAGAATCTCCATTGAAAACAGCTTTTAGAAATAGTGCCAGTAATCATATTTTCGTAAATAATAAAACAGTAATAAAATAATAAAAGCTTTCTTTTCTCCTCTGTACTTACTTATGCTTTTGTTCTGTGTTATGATTTAATATTCAGCACATGAACATACAAAAATCAGTTGTAGGGCAATAGATGTCAACCCAACACTACTCCATTTTAGTAGCAAGCACACATAACAGTACATCTTGTATTGCTCATGGATTTTACTGGAATTGCTTGGGTCAGTTCACGCTGACATATGAATATGTTATTCCAACCAAATGTCAATGAGAGATTAGAATGCTAATTTATTTAAGTAGATACGTGTCAATGTCACTATAACCCTGAAACAAAAATACCTCTATTACTATGCCAATAAAGATTGTCAAAACAACAACAAAAACGAATAAAAACTTCTACATCTGCTTCTGAAAATCTTTGGCAGATGTGTGTTTGGATCAGGTGTTAGGAATTTATCAGTTGGCTGGATGCTGTTTGATCAGCAATAACTTTAGGGATATTATATTCAAACAGGCAAATTAAAAAAAGAAAACCTATTTGATAAACATTTGAATCCTATCCCCAGAATGTCTATTTATATTAAAATAATCACTACACGGACATAAAATTTGCATAAAAATATGATCAAAATGACACATCTTTGAGAAAATGCAAAGCTTCTAGCAGAAATAAACCATGTTCAAGTAATAGAATATATCATATATCTTTGTTGAATTTAAAAATGCAGTACTAGTAATGATTGAAAGTCAGAAGATTTTAGGGCTACAGAGGACTTAAAAGACAGTTCAATCCAATCTTCATTTTAAAGATGTGGAAATTTAGACTTTACAACATAAAATGCTTCGTTCAAGGTCATGCAAGTTCATAATACATCTTGTAATAGGTTCTGAATTCTAAATATGAAGCCAGTTGTCTTTCCGGCTTTCCATATTTTTTTTCTCATCTGCATTTGTAAATAGCTAAGTAAGTAAGGATTCATTCCAAAGAATGGGTTGCCATTTTATCTGGGTTAGTTTACCTGTAACCTATTTTAAAAAAAAATTATAGCAATTAGGCATTTCCCACTAATGATGCAATCACTGAAGTATAACTGATAATCACAGTGACAGGTTAATATCAGCTAGAATTATGCCAATTTTTGATATGACACATTTCATAGACTGTCAAATAGAAAGTAAATTGATAATGCTAAGCATGAAAATATGCTTTATAGGCATATAATTTAACTTAATCAGGGCACAGAAGCCAGGAGGCCTTTATTTAAATGCAGAGATTTCAAATCTTCTTACCTTCATTCCCTAGAGCTCTGCATTGCTCTCTAATGCTCTATGGTTATAGTTTGAAAATTCATGCTTGCTTAATCTAGGAATGTACAACTTTTTCTACCACAGGCCAAATTTACCTGGTTCTAAAGGTCAGTATCTTTCATTGTAACTATAAGGCATGGAAAATATTTAACTACAAATCAGACACCTATGAGACAACTGAATGTGGTTTCTAATAATTGTGAGTTATGGAAGATAACTGAGGCTAGCACAAGCAATGAACTTAAACTAGCATAAACAGCAGGTTCCTGTATAATATTGCTATACTATTGACAGACTGAAGATCTGTGGGTAACATACCAGTTTTATGAATACAAGATAAAGCTTCAGACATTTCCCTGGAGTACACAATGTTTTGATCAAATTACATGTATGAAAATCTGGTATTATTTCACATGTGAAGTACAGACTTGATGTTATTCTCACAATATGATGCCAGATGATATAAAAGGGATAGTATTAAAAGATGTTTCTAATGAAGAAATCTTTTACGAGAAAATTAAGATTTCAGAACTGTAGACTTGTTTTCAGATCCTTATGTGTGGGATGCTTACCCATATGTATAGGAGATAAATAGGAATCCTGAAGGTGGATAAGTAAGTCTGACTATATGACTGTAGCACTGGAATGCATGTAGTAGTTGGAAATAAAAAAACTACATTTTATTTTCCAAACTATAATTAATATGTCTTAATGGGGGAAAAATGGATTCAAACATGCAGAAAATTCAAAGTTCCCCTTGAAACTCTTATCCGATCTCCAACTCCACCTCCTCCCAGCTCCCCTCAATCTTCAGGTAACTATTTGGTTACTACTAGTTACTCCAAAGGTATCCATTTGGTGTGAATTGTGAATAGAGAATTCCCAATCTCTTTAAGCATGCATTCAATCTTAACTAAAAACAGTGATGTTACTAGGCCAAAGAAACCTTAATAAATCATATATAATACAGACAATACTGTCTAAGGAAACGTGTAATAGAAATGCAATGCAATAGTCAAAATATGGAAACAGTTCACATGCCCATTGAAAGGTGAATGGAAGAACACAATATGACATATATATATCATATATATCACATATATCATATATATCTCATATATATAGGGTGGACTATTATTCAGTCTTTAAAAGGAGTAAAATTCTGGCACATGTTACAGCATGGATAAACTTTGAGGACATTTTGTTAAGTGAAATAGCCAGACAAAAAAGGACAATATTGCATGATTCCACTTGTATGAGGAACTTAGATAGGCAAACTATGGAAACAGAAAATAGGTAAGAATTTAGCAAGAACTGGGGGATGGAGAAAAGGGGAATTATTATTGAATAAGTACAGAATTTGGAATGATTAAAAAAATTCTGGAGACAGATGGTGCTGATGATTGCACCACAATGTGAATGTATTTAATGGTACTGAACTATACACTAAACGTGATTAAAACGGTAAATTTTATATTATGTATATTCTACTACAAAAAGAAAATGTAATGCAATGCAAAGAAAATATAAGTCAATTCTTTTTTTTTTTTTTTTTTTTTTTGAGATGGAGTCTTGCTCTGTCACCCAGGCTGGAGTGCAGCGGCACGATCTCAGCTCACTGCAACCTCCACCTCGAAGGTTCAAGCAATTCTCCTGCCTCAGCCTCCTGAGTAGCTGGGATTACAGGTGCATGCCACTATGTCCAGCTAACTTTTGTATTTTTAGTAAAGTCAGGGTTTCACCACATTGGTCAGGCTGGTCTCGAACTCCTGACCTCATGATCTGCCTGCCTCAGCCTCCCAAAGTGCTGGGATTACAGGAGAAGTCAATTATTAAAAATAAAAAGATAGTGGTTCATAATAAGGTCGTTGCTGGAGGACGGAGATGTGAAAGTTTGGAAAACAGGGTTGAGAAATATAATAGGTTGAACATTGTGATTGACTGAAACTGGAGAATGATGTAATGGATTGACAAATCATTGTAAAGGTTTCCATGTGAAGGAAGGGGAAACAAAGTTGTAAAATTTAGAGAATCTGAGGGTTGAGAAAGTATTTTTGTGGTAGAATAAGAATTCTACCCTAATTAATGTTCCCAGGCTCAAACTGATTAGATATATTGGTCTTCTAATCACTGATGAAATTGCATTAAATTCTTTTTTATTTTTATTTTTTAATATAGTTTAAATTCTAGGGTACATGTGCACAACGTGCAGGTTTATTAAGTAGATAGAAACTATCCACTTGTATTATTCTGAAATCAGATTAGCTCGACACTGTAGTAATAATTACATTATAGTCATTAGGTCACCATAAACTCCAATTTCAGAGTTTTCATGAATCTGAAAATAGAAATATATAGAGAGTCATTAAAATATCATGTGAATAGAAATAAACGTGGTATTCCAAAGAATTTTTCCAAGTAAGAATCCTTAAGTAGAGTTACATTAGGATATACAAGATGGAGCCAAAAAATGAGGTGTATGCCATGGTTTACACTGATCTTTCCTGGTCGGCTTATTGCCTAGAGAACTTCCCTCTGTCCCAAACCCAATTTGTACCATATACATTTTCACTCTGCTCCTTACTTTTTTTCTTGTTGTGTCTGGCTAAAATGACTCTCCTTGCCTGTTCAACTCCTGTCTCTGCATCTATTTTGCAGCATTCTTTTATTTAACCATTTCAGCTGACTAATCTGGTAGGCTTTCTTGAATATACAATGCCTGGCTGACTGCCTTCTGAGGGCAGCCAGTACCTGTAAGTTTTAACCTGTGAAGGTCATTTGCATGTCTCCAGTGGCCTTGACCTTTGATGCCTTTTCCTCCGTGAATTAAATCTCTTACAGATCCTTCAACCACACACTTAGTCTTTTTTTTTTTTTTTTTTTTTTTTTTTTTTTTTTTTTTTTTTTTTTTTTTTTGGAGCTGGAGTCTCACTCTATCACCCAGGCTGGAGTGCAGTGGCACGATCTCGGCTCACTGCAACCTCTGCCACCTGGGTTCAAGCGGTTTTCCTGCCTCAGTCTCCCGAGTAGCTGGGATTATACGCGCCTGCCATCGCGCCCAGCTAATTTTTGTATTTTTAGTAGAAAAGGGGTTTCACCATCTTGGCCAGGTTGGTGGTCTTGAACTCTTGACCTCGTGATCCACCCTCCTCAGCCTCCCAAAGTGCTAGGATTACAGGTGTGAGCCACCGCGCCCGGCCACATTTAGCCTTATCTCATATTTCTCCCTATTCAGAATTGCCCTTATAAACCCCATTCTTTCCTTATTCATGGATTTGATTGTATTGTTTCCATTTTCTGAAATTCGTCAACTTTTCATGTTGAAATCTTACTAATTTTTTTTTCAAGGAAAATCTAAATTGTACCTCCTGCTGGAAAGTTTTTACTTCCCCAATTAATTCGCCTTTAAGTAAACATTTATGTTATGTACATACATCTATAATTTATATCCAGAGTAATGCATTTCGCTCAAACCCTGGAGCTCAAAACTCATCAGAACATATTTAAGAGCATTCAAAGCAGTTATAGTGATAGATCTTGCCTTTAAATTATAACATAGTTCTCCATTTAACCCCTTTTTCACTGATGCATCGTAGGTTGCTCTTTTAAGTTGAAAGGGTGCGAAAAGTTTGCGCTGTTTTAAACCTAGTCATTGTCCTGATTCCTTACAAGTATTTCTGCCTTTTCTGCCTTCTCCCCATAGACTGTATTTCCTTTTTATTCATTCAGGTACTTATTATGCACTCCCAGTTACTAATCTCACACACACACACAGATTTATGAGGTCTTCCTATAGTAAAGAGAACGCAACTCACATTTAAGAGGCACCAATTTTGAGCCTGTTTTATATTCAGACAATGCTTGAACCAGTCTGAGAAAACATATAATTCATCACAGTTACATGTCTTTCATGAATACAAATCTTGCCCATGTATGTGAACCAGTTTAAAACATTTCTACTTCTGATTCCCAAGTGATTAGTTGAATTGATCCAAAGATACTATTGGAGATGCTAGTTGAAAAGAGTCACACAATAAAAAAGAAAATAAAACTACTTTACTTCTTAAGTAGTGTTATCAAATATAGAGTTTTTGTTTTTGGTGTATTTAAAAAAATTTACATTTATTTATCCATCTATTCCTTCTAGATGTCCTCCTGGTTCTCTTGGTTTCAGTGACAACCAAGGGGAGATGCTGCTCTGAGCTGTAATAACATGACCTGTCATTGAATAATCTGGACTATTTCCTGTCTACAAACTAGTGTTACCTCTAGTTAACCTTAACAGAAACATTCCAACTGCTCTATATCATTGACTGACTGAACCCTCCTCAGAAATATTTCATCAGAATCATCCTCATAGGGATGATTCATTCCTAAAGGTTATCTCAATGAACACTTTTATGCCTTCAGATGCCCCAGTTTTTATAAGGTGGTTTGACATACTCTATTCTGAACTACGTTGGTAAGTTGCAGGTGAACTATGCAAACATGATCTTCAGCTTAGTTTGCCCTTGGTCCTACCAAGAGTTTTTATATTGATGAGGCTTATGATGAGTGCTTTCAGTGAACAAACAAGCTCACAGTGGAAAGTGTACAGATATGACCTAAATAAGAAGATCCCAGAGTCTTAGCTCTCATGATGAGTCTTCATATTCTGTGACTATAGCACATGGTTTTTAAAAATCCATTGATTATGTAGAAGAGTTTATATATTTTTCTCATGACTAAAATGGGGGCAATAACTTTTTTACAAAGTTGAGGGAGGATTTCCTCTTCTTATTTTGTTAATCTGAGCAGAACCAACACCAACTCACATTTTAGCGATAGCGACAGGAGGCAGGCAAATGCCTAGGCAAATAGGGACGGGTCCCCAGTGAAACCCCACCTCTAAGCTGAAGACAATTTATAACCTGAAAGCCATGCTACAAATGAAACCCACAGACTGGATTGAGAACCTGTCTTTCTGATTGCCATGCTTTCCTCTGATTGATCCCCATGCTTCACCTATTTTGCATATACCTAGCCTTTCCTAATTGGCTTTCTACACTGTTGTGACCACCTTTAAGTGGTGCCTTTGCTTTAACCTTTTTTGCATACTCACAAACCAATTGGCATGCACTCTCCTATTCTGAGCCCACAAAAGCCCTGGATTCAGCCACAATGGTAGAGAAGCCACCTGACTGCATGGGTGAGGGACCATCTCTGTGTCCTCTCTCCGCTTAGAAATGTTCTGTCACTCAATAAAATTATTCTCCATCCTCCTCACCCTTCAAACTGTCAGCATATCCTCATTTTTCTTGGATGCAGGACAAGAGTTCAGGAACTGCTGAACACAGGTACAAGCTATAACACAGGGGGGTCAAGTGGGCAGGGCACCTCCAGCATCAGGCCCAGCCCAGCAAGGCCCAGGTGGTATGGGGGTGTTGCCAGCTGGCTGTGGTAGTCCTTGGTTGGCAAAGTAACTAAGAAAAATCCTGCGTCACTAGCTTGCATGGGAAGAAATTCCTACTCCTGGTCTTAAACGGATCTCTGACAAATGTGTATCTTCTGTCAAGGCACATGGTTTTTGATGATCTTTTAATCTTTATTCTTTGTAACTTAATATGAAGTTAATTCTTTCTGGGGACTTGACAGCCAGGTTTTATCTGGAAGTAGTGAAAAATGGGTTGATTCCTCATGGAATCTCCATGACAACAATAATTTCTTTGTTAAATCTATTATATATGTGTTTATGATTTTATACATATATATAAATCTGAGGGCTATAAGATCATGGCAGGTACGGAAAATTCAAGAAAAATGTTAATTCTGTTATAACCCTGTGGTTAGAGTCTATATATATGCTATGTTTTTTTGGTGACTCTTAATTTTAAGACTTTTTGTTATATAGGGTAGTGGTTTTCAAATGTTAATGTGCTGAAGGGTCACTCTCAATGCTTATTGAAAATGCTTATTTCTAAGCTCTACACCAAAGTATTTTTATTTAAAACTTACTGAATTGGGCTCAGGAATATATGTTTTGATATGCACTTTGGTAGATAATTCTGGGTGTTCATATAGGAAAAATGCTGTTGTGAGCCTTTGAATTAGGATTCATAGAGTCGAAGAAGAGTGGGTTTTTCTACCTTCTTTCTGGGTGGAATTGAATCATGAGTTTCCTAAGAGTTGTTATTCTTTATTAGTCTCTATAGGTCATGAATTAGTAAAATCCCCTTAAAGAGTGTAGTGAAAGCACTGGCAGCATTATTTCTTAGTATTTTGATGAGATTTCATCTCATTCTGTGTTTTTATTTATATATTTTAGTGGAAATTTTGGAAAGGCTGAGTCAAGGATGGCTAATCAGATGCTATTTTGATCAGATTCTGATCTCTGTTGTTTTGAAGGTTCTTTCAAGATCACTTTGGTAAAAAAAACATGACATAGGCTGAGTAGACTATTAATGAAGGTCTCTTTGCACCTCTTTATAGAGTTGCAGCAAATCATTTCCACCCTTTTCTGAAGGTCAAGCTTCATGCTGAGGAAATGATTGATTTCCATTGCTTCATCAGGGATGTTTGAAGCCTGGAATAAGCAATTGCTCAAGTGTTTTGGAGTTAGTCTCATATTTATTCCCATAACTTTATTTTATGCCACATCATCACTCAGTGATGCTAGCCATGCTTTGAAGCATTTCTCTGATAATTCCTTAGAGCACGTATCTGGTAGATAGGGGGGTTGAACTGACTTAAAGCACAACCCCAAAGTTGTGTGGATGTTTCAATGGTTATTCATTTGCCACTGATGTGAAAGCTTAAATACTAAAAGTGGTCTCATTCTACAGTTTCTAATATGTTTAATGAAGAGTTCATTGATCATTTTATTTATAAATTATTTCATTTTGTTAACATACAAATGCTTTCAGTGTAAAAATTAGAATTATTAATTAAATTTGGAATATGGTTAGACATATATAATTTGGGGTAGATCTTGAATGCACTAACCATATTTTGATTCATAATGTAAACGAATAAAATCTTGCTTAAAAGAAATAGGATATCAAGCATTAGATTAGCATGGAGTGACAATGAGTGAATAAGAGCATTGCACAGATTTAGCAAAACCTTTGATATAATTTTTCTGTTAAATCATACTCTATTTAATCAATTGAATATATTTTAATTATGTCCCCAATAAGGAAACATACTTATTAAAAAAGTAATTTAAAGACAGAGTTTAATTTTTCCTACCCATAAAGGAAAAATGTTTAGGATTCTAGAGAATTATGGAATATTTCTTTTTGTTTTGTTTTGTTTTTTGAGATGGAGTTTCGCTCTTGTTGCCCAGGCTGGAGCGCAATGGAGGATCTCGGCTCACCACAACCTCCACCTCCCGGGTTCAAGCGATTCTCCTGCCTCAGCCTCCTGAGTAGCTGGGATTATAGGCATGCACCACCACACCTGGCTAATTTTGTATTTTTAGTAGAGACGGGGTTTCTCCATGTTGGTCAGGCTGGTCTAGAACTCCCAACTTCAGGTGATCCACCCACCTTGGCCTCCCAAAGTGCTAGGATACAGGTGTGAGCCGCCGCTGTATGGAGTATCTCTTGATTATGGAATATCTCTTGAAATCCACTGAAGCACTGACCCTAAGATAATCAGCTTGAACATTGCTGCCATAAAGCTATTCCCTCCTTATTCATTAGCTATGTAATACACCAGAAATTTTATAATACACCAGTTTCATCAGTGCTGGTGATCTGTTCAGAGAAATAACACATACTTTTAATTACTTTCACAAATATTCAGCATTCTTTCATGAAGCAACAAGAGTTGTTAATGTTGCCTCCTCCATTACTCTCACATTTTTATGCAAATCATGGCAGTTGCTAACAATTTCAAGTTACCACTTCCTTCTTGGAAATTTTGAAACACTGATACCTCCTGAAGCTTTAATGAACACTATACATCTATTTTTCTAATTGCAGATTATATGCATATTATGTGGCATTTTTTCAGTTTATTTATTTATCCACATATTTTCTACCTCTTTACCATTTTCTCACTATTCCCATCATTGAGACATACATAACATGCAGTTTTGTTGTACCATTTATGATGTTAGATTCAAAACCTTCATTGTGTAGCATACAACTTTATTAACCTCAAATAATGATCTAAAATCATTATTCTCCTCATTGCTAACAGGGTGGTCAGAGATTCCCTTTTCAGAGTATCATACTTTTGTCTCCTAAGCAATTTCTGTATTTGTATTACCCATTTACTTGCTCACATGCCTAGGCATTCATCATTTAAAGACACATTAGTTTTTAAAGATTTAAATGACATGTTAGATTGAATACTGTTGAAAAATAAATAGAATAAATTGTAATATTTGCCCTTAATGAATGGTGCATCTAGTCATCAGTATACATTGTTCATTTGTATATTAATAGAAATGTATATATTTATAGCAAAAATATGGGGAAGATTTATATCAACATCTTAGAGAATACAGATAATTTTATTTAAGCATATCTTCTAAATTTCTGCCATGGACATGTGTGATTTTTATAATAAGCCAGAATTCTGAGGACGATGCTTCATATTTGTAGTTGTGCTTACTTTGGACATTAAAATCAAGAATGGCTCAGAGCAACTTGAAATCCAGTTTTTCAAAGGGTTCCTTATCAAATAGACCACAAAAAGATCTGCAGGGGATGAACTGACTACACTTCAAAAAACTGCATACACTTCACATATTACTGAGCCAGGAACAACATGAACCACAAAAAATATATGAAAGCTGATTTCTAAAGAAGGACTCACTTCTCTATAAATTGCTTGTCATACTCAGACTTCTTGCATTTCAAATAAATGGAAATGGCCAAGCAGTGCAAAAGCTCTCTTTTCCATGCATGCTGACAGTAAGAATTATTTCTTGGAATCTGAATATTACATATAGCATTATAATATTTTTCATTTTTTGACAGCAGCAGCTTAAGAGTTTCTTTACTTTATGCTCAGTATTATGTAGGCTACCTAAGTACCATATGATTATAACTCAGAAAATAAGAGAAAGGTGATTTTATGAAGTCGCAACCTCATTGCTTATTAGCTCCCTCTGTTACAGAATGTTTTTCCAACTCAAAAGGATTTTAGCTCACTTGTTTAACTCTTTATTCATTCATTCTTTGTTATTATATTGACAGGAGTTTGAAGGGTTTAAGTAAATCTTTGAAATGGACTGTGGCAAACCTTATAGCTTTGAAATGTATTCTAAGGACAAAGTACACTCCTGAATCGAATCTTTCAAACTTACTTTCCAATGTAGCCTAACTTTTGCCAGCTGTGCTATCATTCAGAAGATTTTCCCTTGAAGAACCATGTAAATAAATCGTATAAATACTGTATAAACTTTTTTTTGTTTGTTTCTAGAGCATACATGCATCATTTAGGTAATATCAACTTGTGCTTGGGGAACCTGGTTCTGTTTGCCTCAAATTTTTATTTTTTAATGTTTAATTTTTTTGTCCCACTGTAGTTACCTAGAGCTTCATGCTATCTGACCCACATACCATGAATAAGGTACAGTTGACTGCCAGGTGGTTATGTTGAGGTTACCTTTGCAGGAGATGTACAATTGCATGGCTGCAGAGCCACAACACAGGCAGATTGTTTCTGTGTGTACCTTGTGGATTTCATATCTGCAGATTCACTGGGCCACTCAGTGGGTTCAAATGGATTATTATGTGAGAAAAGTTGTGATGGGGATGAACAGAGTGACTTGGATCATATGTTCTTAAAAAAGGCCAACTTTTAAGCCTTAGGATTGGGAGGTTCATTGCCACCTGCTATGACCCCAACGTGTGTCAGGGGTTAATGCAATCTTCTAACATTCTAAAAGCCAGATTGATCTTTATTTTTTAAATGTCTCCTGGGGATTCCAAGCTATGAAGAAAGAGCTGAAGGGCAAGAACAATATACTTTTCAGGAGAGAAAGTGAATGTGACTGATTGCTAGCAAGCCACAGGCAGAGGAACAAAGGTGAAAACGAAAGTGACTCAGAAGTACATCCCATTTCATGAGTCTGTCTGCACAACAGCAATGACTCATTTAGTCAGTAACTCACTCTTCCTCACATTTACTCTATTTAGAAGCCTCATAGCTGTAGAAATGCAACATGAATCTATATGTATATATTTAATTTGCAATAAGAAGAACTCATAGTTGGGAAAGGAGTAGTTTCAACATTACCACAAACTAACCAAATAACATTTGAGCTTGTTGTAGAAACTCCTTAGGTCTTTCTTATCTGTAAAATGTGCTGGCAGATTAATAAGTTCCAGCACTGGAGAAGACCAGTTAGTCTTAGTTTTGAGTGTGGTTTGTTTTTGTGTATGGATGCATGTGAGAAATTACTTAGTAAAGTCCAGAAAAATAGAAAAAAAATATTATTCTAAAGTGGATATATTGTTTAGAGAAAATAATGTGCTTAAAGTAAATAATGCATGTATGTATATGAATGTTTACTGTGAATTGATAAACCCATATAAATACTTGTTTTCAATAACAAATGCTAAAATTTTATTATATACTTAGCCCCACAATTATATTAAGTGTTGGCTAAAAATGCACTTTCAACAGAAGACACATCTTCTTATATGCCAAACAAGGTCTTAAGACAAATATATGTAAAGCTTGGAATTCAGTAATATCTCCACTTCACTCTCATTTATACAGTAACCCTTTACAAGAGTTTTTATCACAATCTACTGCAAAAAATTGTTTGCATCTATTTTTGTATACATCAGTCACTACCAATTCCTTGACTAGTATTATTAATTAAAAAATATTATTGACTCCAATAATAATAGTGCCTTCAATTTTATCCATTCCACTTTTTGACTAACATTTCCTATGCTTTTAGCTTATCTATATTGTCACATCTACTACCTTATTACCATATCATTATATTTATATACTTTCCTTTATAGAAAACTTTATTCAAAGAGTTAAATATAGATACATTTTTCATTTCATAGGTTTTCCTCAATTCACTACAATTTAACAATAGTCATTAAAGTAGGAAAAGTAATAGAACCCAGCTTATAGTATTGTGAATACCAAATCAATCAATACCCTAAACTAAGTTACTTAAAGGAGAGTTTGGCCTATAATAGGTACTCATTAAATGTTTAGCTACCATCATACTTATTATTGTAATTAGTATGACTATTTCACTTAGCAGGACTGTTTTGTGAGCAAAGATCTCCATGCGGGCATCTCTACTCATTGACTGCTATTTTATCTCTTATTAGTTTCTCAGAGATTAACCTTCTTTCCTTCTTGAAATATTTTAGTTTAGTATTTTTATGGAATATTACCTTCTTCTTATTTTCTTCCTACCTCAGTAATAGTTCCTTTCCTTCTACCATTACAATAGTTACCCTCTCAGTCTCCTTGACTGGCTCTTCCATCTTTGCTTGTCCTTTAAATATATGCTCTTCTGGGGATATGTTTATGGATCTCTTCACTCACTCATATACAGTTTCCTCCTAGAATTCTCTTCCTGTTCTATGACTTTCATTACTTTTACTGTCTTTTGCAATACTGTAATTCAAGTTTTACACTTACCATATGGAATTAGTCCATACCCCACAAGTTAAAAGTCATGGTCCACAGCCAGACTGCTCCCACTTCAAATGCTAGCAATGAGTTTGAGCTATCCTGTGCCACCTGCACTTCTGACCAACTAGCTCAAAATCTGGGCGCTTCTCCCAAACTTCCTTAGGTTTGAGAATTAACTAAAATGACTCACAGAACTCAGGAAAGCATGATACTTATGATTACAGTTTTATTATATAAAATACATATCAGGATCATTTAAATGAAGAGACACAGAAGGAGAGATCTTAGAGGGTCCTGAATGCAAAGCTTTCATGCCCTCTGGCAGTAAAATTAGGGTGCATAACCCTCTGGCATATTGATATATGTTCACATACCAGAAAGCTTCATTAAGCTTCAGTGTTCAGAATTTTTACTGGGATTCCATTACACAGGCATAATTGATAGAATCACTGCCCACAAAATCAAACTAAATCTCCAGGCCCCTCCTCTCCCTAGAAATTAGGCTGGCTCAAAGCCCTAACTTTGTAATCACATTGTTGGTCTTTCCAGTGACCACAGCCAAATCTGACTTATCTCTTAGCACAGATTCAGATGTGATCCAAGAGGCTCATAAATAATAGAAATACTCCTACTACTCTGATAGTTTCAAGTATTTATAGACTCTGTCCTAGGAACCAGAGACAATGTAGCATCTATATGGGGTTCTCCCTAGAACTCCAGAGTAGCATAGTTAATGGTCAATTTACAGATATACATGGAAGAATGTCTAAGTATCTCAAGCTAACCTGTTAAAAATAGAAATCATAAAATTTCATGAAATATGTTTGTTTTCCAATCACTCTCCTCATAGTAATGGAATCATAATCCTGTTGCTAAAGATCACAATCTAGACATTTAACTTAATTAATTTCGCTTTCTCACTATTCATTCAAACCATCTATAAAGCCCTATTGGCTCTTTATCCAAAACATAGCTTTAAGACCTGGAACAGGGCCTGGATATTGTAGTCACTCATTAATGATGATCACCATGTTTTGTTTGTGTTTGTAGCCCCAATACTGAGCACATTCCCTGGCAGATAGCATAAACTCAGCACTATTATTCCAGTAGTTCTTCAACGTTCATTTTCCTATTGGCATATGCTCTCTATTAATTCATTAAGCATTACATTATTACCATAAAATATGATTATTTGAAACAGAACAATGTATAGGGTATTCTACGAGCAAAAAAAAAATACTTTTGTGATTGAATTCAATCATTAAAAAATCATTTAGATAGAAAATCTTTAGTAGATATTCAGATGGCATTCCAGGATGGTGCAATTCCAGAAATATGCTTAACTCTAAATTGCATCTCACAGACACATTTATTGAGCATCTTCCATAAGTGAAAACTGTATAAAGTACTGAGAAACAATTGTAGATAATGCTTAAACTGACCTACAAGCATTTTACCTTCAATTATAGAAGAAAAGACTGTAAACAGGCAATCACAACGAAGTGCACTGAACAAAGATACCAATTTATGATGATGGGATTTCTTTGTTAAAAGTGGGAAGTTAAGAAAATAATTTTTTCAGAAGTAGAAGTATTTACAAAGATTTAGAGATTAGAGAGAAAAATGCTCTGAGAGAGAGACTGCTCATAGTTTTATACATGTAGAGTGTGAAGAGTCCAAATGGAGAATAATGAAAGACGAAGGTGGAGAAGAAAATACCTCAAAGTAAGGGTTCAAAGGAAGCCATAATAAAAAAATCAGAACTTTTCTTAAAGAAAACAGAAAACAGGAAGACACTGATGAGGTGGAACAAAGAATAACATTAGGTTGCTACATTATAAAGGATTATCTGATGGTAATTTAGGGAGTAGATTGAAGAAGCCCTAACTAAAAAGTGAGGAGTTAGCAGGCTCTTGCATGCATACAGAAAGGAGTTGATGGTCGCCTGAAATAAGGTAGCAGTATTGAAGGTAGAAATAAAAGAATGGATTCGAGAAATATCAAGAAGAAATGTCAAGTATTATGGCAAGCATTTATAGAAATAATATTGGTAAAGAAAATCAGGGAATGCAAGACAGTAAAAATGTTCTAGTTATTTTAACAAACTTTACTGCTTGCCAGAGCTGAGGGGAGAGGGAAGTCACTCTCTGTTCTTAAGTGACAATAGTGACAAATGGTTGCTTAACAGACAACTGCAAGTTTATGACTGTGACTGCTGAAGGTAATGCCTGCTAAGAAGTTACAAAATACAGACACCATCAGGGTGAGTGAAGATTGCTGTTGGCATATGGTAGACATTAGCTCATTAACATATTCAGACTAACAGATGTAGATGTTACAGTATGCTAGTGAAAATATTAATTTTAAAAATTAAAAACTCCTAGGGCTTTGAACATTTTTGAATGTATGATTCTCAAAGTTCTCTGATGGACAAATTGGAGGTATTTCCTTGACTGTCTATTCAGGCACTTCCAATAGCTGAAACTTGCTCATACTCTGCTGCAAAAATAAACCTGGGGAAAAGAGGAGGAAAGAAACTATGTAACACCCTTATAATTATAATTTGGCTATATATTTGAAATGAAGAGACACTACTACAAAGTCTAAAGGTAGAAGACATTTCACATAAAAGATTTAAATAGTTTCTAAAAATGAAACTGTAGATATACATCTAAAGCAATAATTTGATTCTGTGTTCAAAGTGGATGACAAAATATATTTCATTCTACAGCATACGGCTGATTTTTCTATTGTAATTTTCCTTTTAAGAAATGAAAGTTCAAAAAGACCAGGGAAGTTCCTTAAACTTCTCAAAACAAAGCCACTGAATTTGACATATAGTGTAAAGGTCAATTTTGTTTCACTCTTTATTTAAATTTAAAATGTAAACTTACTTTCCCCTTTTTTTGTAGGAGATGAATAAAAAAGAAAGAAGGAAGGAAAGATAGGAAAAGAAAATAAAGAAAAAAAAACATAAAGGGGAAAAACAGGAAGGAAAGTACATTTCCTTTTGCACGTAATAAAAGGAAAGAGTGATCATTTGAACACATTTTATTTAGCAAATAAAATTTGATATTTTACCATATTTATTCAATCATTACAACAATTAGCATTTATGGAAATGGTGACTACTTAAAGGAATTGAGTTCAAAAGAACACTGAACATTTGTGCAGAGGTCCCTCACTTGCACCAAACATATGCATATACATATATATACATACAAATATATATACACTTATATATCTGTAGGGGGAGGGTGAGAGAGAGAGAGAGATTGATTGATACAAGGATTTGGTAAATATTCCATCATATTTATCTGTCATTTCTAAGAAGTGTGTGTGTGTGTGTGTGTGTGTGTGTGTGTGTGTGCATCTACAATAAGTCTGGAAAAGCTATTCTCTTCAATCAATAGACAGCAATTTTGAGGCATCCATCCCTGAAATCAAATAGTTGAAGCTGTTTGTCAGAAATACCTGCAGTCCAATATTACGCCCTTGAGGGAATTATGTAACACACTACTAGGATTAAGGACTCAAGCACTCAGAAAACAAGCCATTTAAACATATGCAAAGGAAAATTACTAACATGGACTTTCTAGCATTCTTAAAAATCATCAAAGCCAGAGACGCTGTAATGAAAACTGTACAGATTGTTAGGAGCACAGGAATTATAATTCAAGTTGGGAAAATATATTCCTACCAGCTATATTGATGAACCTCTGCTCCCATCTATAAACATGAACAGATGATCAAGAATCGCTGAATATTTGAGAAAAACAAAAACGATAAACAGAATAAGTCCCAAGGGTAAACAGAAGGAAACTTTGAAATAAATAATATCATTAGAGAAAAAATTGATGGATAAGAAAGGAACAGATTGTGAAGGACAAATTAAGCAATTAGCTCTGTTTTTGACATTCAAACCATGTTTACTGAGAAAAACCTCACCTTAATAGATGGGAGGATTAATTGAATAAAAATACTGAAAATTTAATTAGTGAACTGGAACATTTAGCCAAATGTACTCTTTCTAAACACAGTAATCAAGAACAAAGAAGAAAAAATTAAGGGATAAGGAAGCAGTTCCAGGAATTCTAATTGCCATCTAATAGGAAAGCCAGAAAGAAAGAACAGAGAAAAAGTGAAGATAGGGGATGGGAGAAGTAGATAATAAAGTAAATAATAGAATTTCCCAGAATAGATTTAATTTTTAATGTAAGAATCCTTTTTAGTACAGAATGGAATAATATGTAATAAAAAATTTTAAATATAATTATAGAAGCATCCTAGTGAAAATTATTCTTTTAATATTTTAATGTCAATATTTACGCAAAATAACTTTATTTTAAAAATCAAAGAATATAGATGTCTCCATTTACACTTTACCTAAATCCTGCTACCCTTTTCAGAAGTAGTTATATTTGACAATTTAGTGTTTCCTTACTGAATTTTTCCTATAACATGTGAGATGCACATATGTGTGTTGTGCATGCATAACTACGTACATGTATTACACTTTATTTTACAAATGTGAACCCATTAAAAATTTCAAAATAGATGAAATTTATATAAGTATATTTAATGAATAATACAAATTTAAAATGATGTTAGCTGGATGTGGTGGCTCACACCCGTAATCCCAGCATTTTGAGAGGCTGAGGCGGATGGGTCACTTGAAGTCAGGAGTTCAAGACCAGCCTGGCCAACGTGGCAAAACCCCGTCTCTACTAAAAAAAATACAAAATAAGCCAGGAGTAGTGGCACATACCTGTAGTCTCAGCTACTTGGGAGGCTGAGGCAGGAGAACTGCTTCAGGCTGGGAGGCAGAGGTTGCAGTGAGCCAGGATTGTGTCACTGCATTTCAGCCTGGACAACAGAGCAAGACTCTGACTCAAATAAATAAATAAATAAATAAATAAAATGATATTTAACCTCACTGTAGTCAGGGAAATGCAAATTAAGGTGAGACTTGGAGAAAAAAATGATTTGTGATATCTTGTGCTGGCAAGAATCAGATAATCATGCATATTTGAACACAGCTAGTTGGAAAGGAAATAGATAGTCAATTAGAGAGAAATTTGGCAGTATATATCAAGATGCACATACTTTGACTCAGAAATACAGTGTTCACAAATCTATCTACAGATAGATTCTATGTATCCCAACAGAAGTACTTTTAAATGTATATGTTATATATATATACACACACTCACATATATGTAAATAAATATATATATTCATAAAGTTATTTATTTCACATTCTTAGAAAGCCAGAAAGTAGATTTAGGAAGACATGCATATCTACCAACAGTAGAATGTTTAAATAAAATATTGATACATACGATGGTATAATATACACCAATTAAAATAAATAAACTAGAAAGTCACCTTAAGTGATTTAAAGATGCATTGTTAAGTGACATAAGCAACTTGCTGAGCAATATGAATATCCAAAAGTATGTAAATACCCGGAGAAAGTGAAAAAAGGATGCATACCTAACAGGTAGCAGTGTTCGTTCATAGAGAATGAAGCAAGGAGTTCAAGTGAGGGAGTTAAAGACTGAAAGGAGATACTCAGTAACATAGACCTGGAGATTAGTCATCAGTCCTTCATAAAATTAAAATAGAGTTTCAGTTATTTCTTTTCCTTCTATCAAGTAAATGTGTGTATTAGTTGGTTCTCACATCGCTATAATGAACTACCTAAGAGTGGGAAATTTATAAAGAAAAGAGTTTTGATTGGCTCACAGTTTGGTTCCACAGGCTATACAAGAAGCATGGCTGCAGAGACCTCAGGAAACTTACAATCATAATGGAAGGTGAAGGGGAAGCAGGTTCATCTTACATGGCTGGAGCAGGAGGAAGAGATTGAGGAGAGGTGCTACACGCTTTCAAATAACCAGATCTCGTGATAACTCACTCACTGTCTGGAGAACAGCACCAAAGGGGAATTCCACCTTCATGATCCAATCACCTCCCACCAGACCCCACCTCCAACATTGAGGATTATAATTTGACATGAGATTTGGCTGGGGACACAGACCCAAACCATATCAGCATCTCTCACCAGAAAGAGTCTAATGCCAAAGAAATGAGAAAGGATTGTCCCTTGATTGAACATCTAATAAGCCAATTATACTCATCTGTCTAATCTATCTAAATCAATCAATAAATCAATCTATCATATTTCTGTTATTTATATTGTTCCACTACCATTACTTCCTTCTTTTTCTTTTCTTTTGTTCTCTCCTCCCACTTATGTCTCCATGTGTTGCTGTGTCTCTTTCTCTTTATAGTATTCTTTCATAAATAAAACTTATGAAACTTAAGTTAGCTCGAGTACCAAATTACTAGAACAACAGTACACATATAATAAGTCTCTCCATCACAAAGCTTTCTGAGAGGATAATTAGATTTATTTTATTGCTAGGAAATAGAAAATAAGTAGGAAATGAGAGGATATCTTACCACACAAGCATCATTTCCTGTTTTCTCAAATAGATGCTTTAAATGTACAACTATGATCTTTCCTCATATTCTGTAATCTGAAATCCTCTTATGTCAGCTCTTTAAAATCTTTGTCTCTCTTCAAAGTCAATCCCAAATATTGCTTTTATGCTGAGGCCTTCCTTAACCCTTTCAGTCACATAAAAATCTTTCTCTTTATTGCTCCCATGGTGTACTTGTCTATCACTGAGGTTGTATTAGTTCATTCTCGCATTGCTATAAAGAACTACTTGAGAGTAATTTATAAAGAAATGAGGTGTAATTGAATCACAGTTCTGCAGACTGTACAGGAAGCATGGCTGGGGATGCCTCAGGAAACTTACAATCATGGTGGAAGGCAAAGGGGAGGTATGCATATCCTCCATGGCCAGAGAAGGAGGAAGAGAGAGCAGGGCGAGGTGCTACACACTTTTAAACAACCAGATCTCATGAGAACTCACTCAGCTATCACAAGACCAGCAAGGGGGAAATCCGCTTCCATGATCCAATCATCTCCCACAGGGTCCCTTCTCCAACAATGGGGATAACCATTTGTCATGAGACTTGGCAGGGACACAAATCCAAACCACATCAGAAGTGCTCTTCGAATTTGGCCTTAATGAAAGTTAAGATATATTGAACATTTGTTATGATTCATTCACTATGTTAAGCACTTCATATGCATCATATCTTTTAATTCTAATGGTCCTATAAAATAAGCGTTTAGATTTTAGGTTACAGTATCTTTTCAAGGATTTTTTTTCTGTTTCATGATCTAGGAAAACATAAATGTTTTCTCCATCTAGCTATCTGCCATCTAGCTGTCTAGCTAAAGTCTAGCCCTGATGACATTCATGAAGCCTTTGCAGATAATCTCATTGTCCACCTAGTGGCTGACAAATGCTCCTTCAGGTTACAATCTGAAAGATTCATTTATGTATATGTGCACCATCAGCTGGAAGGTGTACCGAGGGGACTGGAGCACAGGGCAGTGCTAGCAGGGAAACTATTATTATACTATTATTAACTGTACTATTATTTTTCTGTCAATTGAGCCTCTGTCATCAGTAATCCATTAAATGTTTCTGCTTCTGTTTTGTCTGGCCTCTTTATCAGGCATAAATTGGTGCTGTTCTAGTCTGTGGAGTGGCCCTAATGCTTACTTTGTCATAAAGGAACCCATCCATTTTAAGAATAAGATCCACTGTGTTGGGATGCTTTTATTTTGGCAAGCATTGCATGAGTTCTCGGCATCCATTTAGGGACACTGAGGTTGTTTCTGTCTTGTGGCTATTATGAATAATGCTGCTATGAACATATGTGAACAAGTTTATATGTGGATGTACGTATTACTCTTGGGTATATACCTAAGAATGAAATTTCCTGGTCATGTGCTACTCTGTTTAGTCATTTGAGGAACTGCCAGACTGCCTCACAAAGTGGTTGTACCATTTTACATCTACTCCAGCAGTATACAAGGGTTGTGATTTACTCACATCCTTGCTAATACTTGTCATCTTGCTTTTTTATTCTAGTTATCCTAGCAGGTGTGAAGTGATATCTCATTGTAGTTTTATGTTTTCTTGATGAAATCATGTTGAATATCTTTTCATGTGCTTATCGGACATTTGCATATATTATTTAGAAAATTGCCTATTCATGTCTTTTGCTCATTTTAAAAATAATTTGAAGTGGTAAGAACGATGTCCTTGTCTTATTTCTAATCCTATCGAGAAAGAATTCCATCTTCCACCATTAAGAGTGATGCTAGTATGATCCAGCAATCCCACTACTGGGTATTTATCAAAAGAAAGAAAATCAGTATATTGAAGAGATATCTGAACCTTCGTGTTTTTTGCAGCATTATTCAAAATAGCCAAGATATGAAAGCAACTTAAATATCCATCAGCAGATCTATAAAGAAAATGTGGTATACATATGTAATGAAGTACTACTCAGCCATAAAAAAGAATAAAATCCTGTCATTTGTAAAAACTTGGAGGAGTTTGGAGGAAATTCTGTTAAGTGAAATAAGTTAGGCACAGAAAAATAAATACCGCATGTTGTCACTCATATGTGGAAGCTAAAAAATTGAGCTCATGGAAATAGAGAGTATCATTATGGTTATTAGAGGCTGGAAAGGGTAAGAGGGAGGGAATAATAGGGAGAATTTGGGTAACAGATACAAAATTACAGCTGGATGGGGGAATAAGTTATAGTGTTTCATAGCACTGCAGGGTGACAGTTAATGAAAATTTATTGTATATGTTCAGAAAGCTAGCAGAGAGGATTTAGAATGTTCCCAACACAAAGAAATGATAAAGGTTTGAGGTGAGGAATATCCTAATAATGCACATTGTATATATGTATTGAAACATCACTGTATCCCACAAATATGTACAATTATTACATGTCAACTAAAAATAAAATGAAAAAAAGGTTTGATGTTAGCTTTAGGTTTCTCACAGATGGCTTTTATCAGGTTGAGGAAATTCTCTTCTACTCCTAATTTGTTGAGTGTGATATAATAAAAATGCATTGAATTTTGTCAGATGCTTTTTATGAGTCTATTGAAATCATTAATATTTGTTTTTTATTATATTGATATGTTGTATTACATTAGTTGATTTTCAGATGTTAAACTAACATTGCATTCTTGAGATAAATCCCATTTTGTTCTCGTTTATAATTTTTTTATATGTTGATGGATTTTGTTTTCTAGTATTTTAAGGATTTTTACATTTATACTAATAACAGAAGTTGGTCTGTGTTTGTTTTTCTTGTGATGTCTTTGGTTTTAGATGGCTATTTATTTTATTTTATACACTAAATTGTGATATGGAGCATAAAATACTAATAATATAATAATAATAGCTAGAATTTATTGAGCATAGAATTTGTGCCAGGAGCTCTGTTCATGACTTTTACAGATATTTTACCACACAACTCTCACAAAACTGTGAGAGTTAGGTCTTTCTTTAATTATTATTATTAAAACTAAAAACCTAAAACCTGAAAAAAAAACAAACAAAAGAAATATGAAAGGACAAAATTCCAAGAGTTAGAGAGGTTAATAAGCTTGCCTAAAGTCACAAATATAACTGTGGGCTGAGTGTAAAGTTAAATCCAATTTGTCTCTTTTCAAAGCCTATACTTTTTATGTCTTTATGAGTAAATTAAGATAGATGATTATTCAACCCAACACTTATATTCACATGGAATATTATGAAGCATTCTTTACAATCTTTTTTATTTTTTGAATTCTCTGATTTTTCTCTTCTGGTATTATTTTTCTTTCTTAAGTTTTCTAAGATTCAGTCTTATCTTTAGTTGGTTTTTGATGACACTGGAGTCACTTCCTTTGTCTTATTATGTACAGTGATATTTTTGGGACAAGTACAAGATCTGAGCTATTCTGGCATGAATGGAAAAGCAATTACAGAAACACGGAATTGGTGATACAAGGGCACTAACAGAGCAGAATCACATTGTTTCTCCTCTAGCAAAGTATTACACGTAAGAGGTAAAGTGTCAAATCACCAGGCATTTTCTCTGAAAAAGCACATCATTCTTTTTTGGTTAATTAACTGATTAATTTGGAAGTCTCTGTGTTATAGTGGAAAAAACACTGTACCAGATATATGTAGTTTCAAACTCTAAATCTGTTATTTAAAATGAATATCCTGATTCAAACAAACCAACTATAAAAAGATCATCATGGAAATTTTAGTAAGAACTGCTTATAAAATAATGCCAGGAAATTACTTTAAATGTGCTAGTTGTGACAAAACAACAACAACAACAACAACAACGACATTGGTTCTGTAAGATAATGGCCATGTTTTCTACAGATTCATGCTAAAAGATGTAGTAATTATGAAATAACATGTTTTCTTTTAATAATATTTAAGGAATGAAAATGATACCAAAGTGAGTGAAACAATAAATTTAAAAATCTGGAATCTGAATGATGGTTAAATGGAGATTAATTCCCTCTACCTTTTCATGTGTTTACAAATACTCATAATTGATGATAACAAAAAAGGTGATCTTGGGGCTCAGTGTTCTTTCTCCTGGAACAGAGATAGTAATAATTGCTGTAGAGAGGATTAAAAGAGATTTGTGTAAACATCTTCTATGTTTTATATACTTCATAAATAATTGCTTAATTTATTTCAGTGGTTCAACAAAAAATACTGAGAGGCAGTCATGTTGTAGAAATAGTGTTTTCTTTAAAGGATACAAAAGAATGGATGGGAGAGGGTACACCTTGAGGGGATCAGTCTATTCCTTTCTATAATTGGCAGTTCCTAGATAGAAAAATATTCAATATCTTAAATAAGTATTCATATACATTTTGTTCACCCTAGTCATATTGAAATAACAAGTCATAACCAAAATAAGTCAGAGTTTTGGGAGATATGTCAAACTGGGTAAAGTCTCACTGAAGGAAGTCTTAGAGAAGCAAATAAAGACAGGTAACATTTTAAAAACTGGATATACCCCTCTAGTAAAATATTACAATGTTTATCCCAGCTATGAAGCATTTAAAACTATAACTGGATGCCAAAATATCTAAAGTATACAGATTAGACACATCGGTAATATTTAACTGAAGGAAAAATTCAAAGTTTTAACCCCTTTCGGGCTAGTTTGAAGCTCTCAACAGCTGCAGCTCCACATACACTTTCATAATTCAAAAGGTGCCGCATCAGGGTCTCCACTCATTTCCTACTGTGGACCTTCTTTTGTTTGTTGTTTTAAATTTAACTTTAATTTTAAGTTCAGGGATACATGTGCAAGTTTGTTATATAGGTAAACTCATGTCACAGGGGTTTGTTGTACAGGTTATTTTGACACCCGGATATTCCTGATCCTCTCCCTCCTCCCATCCTCCACCCTCCAATAGGTCCCAGTGTGTGTTGTTCCCCTCTATATGTCCTCATCATATAGCTCCCACTTATAAGTAAGAACATGCGGTATTTGGTTTTCTGTTCCTGCATTATTTTGATAAGGATAATGGTTTTCAGCTTCATCCATGTCTTTGTAAAGGACATGATCGCATTCTTTTTTATGGCTGCATAGTATTCCGTGGTGTATATGTACCACATTTTTCTTTATCCAGACTATCCTTGATGGTTACTTAGGTTGAGTCCATGTCTTTGCTATTGTGAATAGTGCTGCAATAAACATACATGTGCATGTTTCTTTATAATATTATGATTTATATTCCTTTGGGTATATACCCAGTAAAGGGATTGCTGGGTTGAATGGTACTTCTGTCTTTAGGTATTTGAGGAATTACCACTGTCTTCCCCAAAGGTTGAATTAATTTATTCTTCCACTGACAGTGTGTAAGCATTCCCTTTTCTCTGCAGCCTTGGGAGCATCTGTGGATTTTTGAATTTTTAATAACAGCCATTCTGACTGGTATGAGATAGTGTCTCATTGTGGTTTCGATTTGCATTTCTCTAATGATCAGTGGTGTTGAGCTTTTTTTCATGTAATTGTTGACTGCATGTATGTCTTGTCTTTTGGACCATCTTATTGTGATCTAGTGTTTGTAGTTTTGTTTTTTTTCTTAACCTTTGTTCTGACTGCCTGAATTTAGCCTCCCTGACTACCCCCTCTAGATTTTAGTGTTAGCTGATGGTCTGCCCTGATGTATTTGACATGACTGTGGCCTAAAAACTATCTTTTAGAAAAGTCTGAGCTTTAAATCTCTGTAGTACAATGTGAGCCATTGCTATCCCATCCCAGTATCTGGGCAACAAACTTGACGCTTCCTCATATCTCACAAGGAAGTTTAAAAAACAAAGAAAAACACATTATCTTGACTACAAATAGGCTTTTTCATGTTACTAGTAGACCATTTTTTATAGTTGCAAGTGTAGTGGCTTGAGTATGTGCTCAAAATGACATTGTATTGGCCACAACAAAATCATGTGATACTGTAATAGTGGTCTATGATATGTGTGTGTGTGTGTGTGTGTGTGTGTGTGTGTGTGTGTGTTTCTTGGTAAATTTCACATGAGAAAAATCTTTGAAGATACTGGAAAAATATGAAAAGTTAGAATAAATCAGAAACATTTTAAAGATCCAATAGTCAAAAGAAATACTTTGCCAGAATCTGGGAGGAATTTGCAGGATATTTTTAGTCAAATGAACAAGATTGAGATCATTGTCTAGTTGTTCATTCGTGCTCGTAAAACAAACCAGCCTTGATTAAAAAAAAAAGTAACTCAAAGCACCCTTTTTACCCTCTTGATGCCTCTCCCTTATTTCAGAGATTTAAGATACATATTCATCAGGTAACTGAAACCATCCCTCTGTTTCATGAGTATTGTTTTGGAGGTAATGACAATCCTACTCTTTTAGCTTGCATTTTTCCTGTCTCTTGGGAAATAACAACTTCAAGAAAGCAATAGGAAATAAAGATCTATGATGGGGAATGGGAATTGGCAACATCACCTGGGAACTGAACTCTTCAAAGTATATTTCTAAACTGAGAATACCTCTTGGTAATGTAGTTTTTCACTTCTGTTTCAGATCAGTTGTAAGACAAACCAAACAAAAGCAATAGCCAAATAAAAGAGAATGTTATTAGGTAGGGAAGAGCAGAAAAGCATTAGTGCTTATTAGAAAATAGAAATTGAGATGGAGATTATATAAATAAGTCTGTCTTCTAAATGATGACTAACTATAGACAGTGACAAAACCAGTGGAGTATCATAAAGCATCCAAAAAATGTACTTCTGAAATTTTTAAATATAGAAACCAGAATAAAAATACAATAAATGTCTGTTATTTCCTAAAGAAGACAAAAAGTTAGGGATTTTTTGACACAACATTACAAAACAAGGGTAATCATGAAAACCATCAATATAGCATGGACCAGGGATTGAGCTAAGTGTTGTACATCTACTTTCTCACTTAATAAAATAAATGGAAACACAATCTGAAATAAAGGCCAACTATATAAAAATTTTTAATATCGAAAGGAAACAATAGAAACGTTCAGTAGCTGGAGGTATAACAAGGGGACTAAAACTACATAGAGAAATTAATTGCTGGATTTACAGTAATAAATGATAAAAACACCATTGTGGAAAATGGAGGAGTACATGTGAAAACATTTCTTTTAGAATGAGGAGAAATTTGATAACAACTGTAATGATTAGAATAGTAAATCACAGCTAAATTTCAAGGTTAGCACTGTGTTTTCTTCATATACCAAATATATTTTTTCTGAGGTTAAATTAATTAATTAATTAATTTATTTATTTTTTTGAGACAGAGTCTCGCTCTTGTCACCCAGGTTGGAATGCAATGGTGCGATCTTGTCTCACTGCAACCTCCGGCTCCTGGGTTCAAGTGATTCTCCTGCCTCAGCCTCCTGAGTAGCTGGGATTATAGGAGCCCGCCACCACACTCAGCTAATTTTTGTACTTTTGGTAGAGATGGGGTTTTGTCATGTTGGCCAGGCTGGTCTCAAACTCCTGACCTCAGGTTAACCGCCCTCCTTGGCCTCCCAAAGTGCTGGGATTACAGGCGTGAGCCACCGTGCCCAGCCTCTGAGATTAAATTATTTTTATAATTAAAAAGTAATTGTTTGATAGGGTGAGTTTCTCTTCTCTCTGGGCCACAATACATAGTATTAATATTTTATGATGGCATAAATCTCTTTAAAATTGGTTTTAAATTTTATTTCTCTTAACTACAAGCATATTTCTACATGTAGTTTATTCTCAGCATGACATAGAATTAGGAACTTCAAGTTAGATTTTGAGTTCAGGTCCCAGCATGAAACATGGTATACTGAGGATTTTGGTCAAATAACGTAAAATCTCTTGCCTCTGGTTTTCTTTCTACAAAGTGTGGGTAATAACTTCCTCAATGGTCACTTAGAATTTTTGTAAAGTTTGAGGATCCAAATCCTAGATTTGCTGAGTCCTAAGATTACATTAATTGCTATTGTTATTTACCACTACAGCATCCTGCCCTTTTCCAATAAAATATTCATCACTCACAAAAATATCTGTTAAATATTTTAAATATCTATGTTCCATGTAAGACTATATACTCCTTGAGCCCAAGGAGCATAGCTGTCATATATTACATACCTAGAGATTGGCGCAAAGTTAATGTGAAAAATATTGAACAAATGAAATGAGAACTTAATGGATACATAAGTTTTACACTTTTGATAATTAATTCCTTTAAAATATCTTATAAGAAAAGCATTGAAATCATCTGATAATGGATTTATATTAAAGGTTATATTACCCTAATCCATAAAAGCATGATGAAAAAAGTGGAAATGTATTTAGTTACTATATGTGTGTGTGATCTCATGGAACTGTCTATCACCAATTCATCACTCAAAAGTAGCTTGTATTAATGGGATTAATATTGTTTCATTTACAAATTCTGTCACTGTACTTCAAATAGTTATGTTTACTAAAGTTTATAGTTTAATAAATGTGAAAAGTAAACTCAAAGCTTTACTCCAGGTTCATTACTAATGATAAGGAAGGATGGTATTAATTAAAGCCACGGTAATATTTGAGTTAAGGTCTGAGAAGAGAGCAATATTACTGTGACAAATTAGTACATATTCACTTTGGATTATTTGAAAACGGTATTATAGGTTGAATAAAGGCCTTCCAAAGATGTTCATGTCTTAATCCCCTCAACCCGTGAATATGTTATGTTATTTTGCAGTAGGAAGTTCATAGATGTAATTAATGTTACAAACTTTAAATAAGGAAATTATTCTGGTTTATTCTAGCTGAGCCCAGTCTAATTACATGAGCCCCTAAAAGCAGAGATCTTTCTCAGGCTAGAGTCAGAAGAGATGTGGCATAAGGGAGAAGTTAGAAAGATAAAGATTATGAGAAGGACTTGGTGTGTAGTTTTTAGTGTGAAAATGAGGTGTGGAACTTGAGGAATGCTGATGACCATAAAGAGTTGAGAGACGCTTCTAGCTGAAAGTCAATAAGAGGATGATGGGGACTTCAACCTTACAAACAAAAAGAACTGAATTCTGCCAATAATTTGAATGTGCTTGGGAGCAGATTCTTCCCAGAGCCTTCTGATAAAAACCCAGGCTAGCTACCATGTTGATGTCAGCCCGAAGAGACCCAAATCAGAGGAATTATGAGAGCTCCCTTGGGCTTCTCACTTATAGAATTGTGAGATAATAAATTTGTGTTCTTTTAAGCCATTAAGTTTTTAGTATTTGTTATTGAAACAATGGAAAAATAATATGTTGGGTTTATGTTGGAAATATATATTTAGGCCAGTTCTACCCTAGATTTTAGAGTTACTAGGTATCTCTCTTTTGGCAGTATTTTCTTTGAATTTTTTTGTGTAGTACTTCTCACTATTTGACTGATAGAGTTCTAGGGATAGCACTGAAGGTCTAGGAAAAAGGTTTCAAGAAATCTGTTTGCTTCTAGACTAAGTGTAAGGTAACAAGGTTAAAAATAATTCTTAGTACTTGATTGCAATCTAGCCTAACTCATCATAGTGTGGAGTTCTCATAAGGGTTTTGTAGTAGTTTGTAGTAACAAATAAAACATTTTTTATTTATTTAAATTTTTGAAAGGTAATAACATTAGTGAATTTTCCCAGAGTCTTTTCCTGCGTATTTCCCTTTTGATTATGAATTGGTAAAAAGGTTACTATTTGAAGATTCAGGATTTGAACTCCTAGCTACCTCTATTTCCATGTATTAAATATATAAAAATAAGGATCCCAGTGAAAAATGTGCAATTCTAACTTTTAAGGTCAATTATCTTTGCTCCCTCTCATCATATAGCTAAAAGAGTAATTAACACACAAATAAGTTTCTGAATAAAATAGATCAGGAAATCATCCATTTGCCTTTAGTCTACTGTCTCTTTATGAAGCAAGTGAACATGCCACAAACTACTTAAAAATCCATTTAAAAAATCCTACGTACAAAATAATAAAATGAGTGTACATGATGTGTATCTGTAAGACAGACTTAATTAGAATGTAAGTTACAAAATAATTTTTACTGATATTGTTTCTAATGAAGAAACTATGTAATGGGAAATTATAATTTGTGAACTTATAATAATGAGTTTAATTTAACCAAAAAGGAATTAGATACTTCCAAATAGTTTTATTGATTGATTGATTGATTGATTGAGTTGGAATCTCACTCTATTGCCAGGCTGGAGTGCAGTGGTGCAATCTCGGCTCACTGCAACCTCCACCTCGCAGATTCAAGCAATTCTCCTGCCTCAGCCTCTTGAGTAGCTGGGACTACAGGTGTGCACCACCATGCCCGGCTAATTTTTGTATTTTTAGTAGAGACGGGGTTTCGCCATGTTGGCCAGGACGGTCTCGATCTCTTGACCTCATGATCAACCCACCTCGGCCTCCCAAAATGCTGGGATTACAGGCGTGAGCCACCATGCCCAGCATTTATTTTTATCAATAATTATAAACAAGAAATATTTTCAGTTATTTTTATATGCTGTTCATTATTCTAAGCATTTTGAAGGGAAGAGAAACACAATGAAGTATAAAGAGGAAAGAAGAATATAATTTATTGCCTACTTACCTTAAATTATTTTACTCAATTCTTATATATAATTGACAATTCCATTAATTACAGCTTACTGATAAGTAACATGGTTTAGAGTGAATCAATACCTTAACCAAAGTCACACAGCTCTTAATTAGTAAAACCAGTATTCAATTCTAACATTGACTGTCTCCTAAATCTATGCTTTATCCAAAATGAAATCCAGTTTGTAATTATTAGAAAATCAAAATTTAACCTTGAAAACATAACTAAAAGCTTAATAAAACACAAAGAATACAATACTTAATATAATAAAAAAATGTAATCAGTACCATATATCTACTAATTATTTTGTCTATACATTAATACATACACCAAATTTTAATTGATTACCTATTATTGTGACCTTTCTTTTAAGCACTAGGAACAATAGGAAACAAGGCAGATACATTTTTTTGTCACATTGAAATTGGATGCTGGTAATGAAAGATAATGAAAGAAGTGCATGTTGTAAATGTCTATTCAGGAGCTAAGAAGATAAAGCAAGTATGTTGGCCAGAATAACCAGCAGTAACAAACTAAATCTAAAATCATGGAAGCTTAAAATCTGAAGAACTATTTCTTCCTCATGCTACAAATCCTTCGTGTACCTAGGAGGGCTCTGCTCTTTAAAAGTCACTCAAGAACTGAGATTGAGAGAGCAATTACCACCTCAAATATTGATGTGTGCAATGTTCAAGAAAAAAAGCAAATTCTAGAAAGGTATTAAAAAGACAATTTCACTTGTCCTACAGGTTCACCTATGATGTTCCCAAACAAGATTTTGTTCTTTTTTATGGCTATATAGCATTCCATTGTGTATATATACCATAGGAATTTTTAATCTGTTTACCCATTGTTAAACACTTAAGTTGTTTCTTATCTTGGCTATATGAATAGTGCTGCAATATCATGGGAATGCAGATATCTCTTTGAACTTACTGATTTAATTTCCTTTGGATATATACCCAGAATTGGAATTGCTGGATCATATGGTAATTCTATGATTTTTTTAGGAATATTTTCCATAATGGCTGTGCTAGTTTACCTTCTGACCAACAGTGTGCAAGGGTTCCCTTTTCTCTACATCCTCACCAATAACCAATACTTACTATCTTTTGTCTTTTTGGTAATAGCCAAAAGACATTTGACTACTACTGGAGTGAGGTGATATCTCATTTTGTTGTTAATTTAAATGTCCTTAATGATTAGTCATGTTGAACATATTTTTCATATATCTGTTGGTATATGTCATATATGTCTTCTTTTGAGAAATGTGTATTAAGGTGTTTTGTCCATTTTTAAATCAGATTATTTTTGTTGGCCCTTGAGTTATTTGAGTTCCTTAGACATTCTGGATATTAGCCTTTTGTAAGATATATGGTTTGCAAATATTTTCTCCCATTGTATAGGTTTTTTCTTTATTATGTTAAGTGAGATAAACCAGGCACCAAAAGACAAATACCTCATGATCTCACTCATGTGGAGTCTAAAATGTTGATCTCACAGAAGTAGTAACTAGAACAGTGGTTAACAGAGACTGAGGATGGGAGGGTGGAATAAAGATAGGAAAAAGTTGGCTAAGGGATAAAAAGTTACCCCTTATAAGGAGAAATAAATTCTGATATTCTATCACACAGTAGTCAACCATAGTCAACAATAAGATAGCTCATAACAGCTAAAAAAGAGGATTTAGAATGCTCCCACCATGAAGAAATGATACATGCTTGAAGTGATAGATATGCTAATTACTCTGATTTAATCATTATACAGTATATACATATATAAAAATATTACATATTACCCAATAAATATGTATAATTATTTTGTGTCTATTAAAATTTTAAAAAGACAATTAAATAATCTGCCCTGGAAATAAATATATCAATTTTATACCCACAATCCAATATAAAGAGCCAGGCATACAATGCTTCCAAAGGATAGAAATGGGGAGAATTGGAAACTTTTAGGTGAGTAGTACTATTATAAGTTGAATGAAATGCTGAAACTCTTAACCCCTTGCATTTCTGTACTGCTATACAGAAATACCCGAAACTGGGTAATTTATAAAGAAAAGAAGTTAAATTGGCTCATGGTTCCACAGGCTGTACAGGAAGCATGATGCCGGAATCTGCTTGGCTTCAGGGGAGGCTTCAGGAAACTTACAATCATGGCAGAAGGTGAATGGGGAACATACATGCTATATGGCCAGAGTAGGAGCAAGAGAGAAGGGGGAGATGCTATACACTTTTAAAGAAGAAGACATCATGAGAACTCACTCACTATCAAGAGAACAGAACCAGTGGTTGCTCCTAAATCGTTCATGAAAAATTGACCCCCATGGTCCAATCACCTCAAACAAGACCCCATCTCCAACACTGGGAATTAAAATGTGACATAAAATTTGGGTGGAAACACAGATCTAAACCATAGCACCCCTGATACCTATACATATGACCATATTGACAAATAAGATCTTTGTAGATATAATAATGTTGATACGAAATCATTAGAATGGGCCTTAATTTAATATGACTGTTGTCCTTACAAGAAAAGGAGCATTTGGACACAGAAGCATAGAGGGAATGTCATGTGAAAATACAAGCAGAAGTTGGAGTGATGCATCTAAAATCCAAGGAATGCCAAAGAGTGCCAGTTGTCACCAGAAGCTAAGAGAAAGGTATGAAAGAGATTTTTTCCAGAGAACCCTTAGAAAGATCCAACTCTGAAGACTCCTCCAGGAGTGAGAAAAAATAAATTTTGTTTTTGTAAGCCACAAAGTTTGTAGTACTTGGTTAAGACAGACCTAGGAAACTAATGCAAGCACTAATGATTGTCAAAATTGGTAAAAATGTATGTATGGAAAAGCTTACCTGTCATCAGAGAAGTTCTGGTTAAGAAAGTGCTATTTAAGCAAAAACTTGAATAAGTGAAGAGTGAGCCTTTTAAAAATCTGAGTAAACAAATTCCAAATAAAGAATTCAAGATATTTATTTTAACCATGCTTAATGATGTGCAAGAGAAGTGTGACAATCAATACAAAGAAATCAGAAAATCAATTCAGGATATGAACAAGAAATTCATGAAGGAGATAGTTATTAAACAAATTCTGGACCTGAAAAATTTATTGAAGGAATTATAAAATCATTCAAAAGCTTCAACACTAACTAAACCAAGTAGCAGAAAAAAAACTCAGAACTTTAAGATAGATCCAGTCTGACTAAAATTAAGAAAAAAGAACAAAAAAGAATGAACAGGCCAAGCATGGTGGATCACGCCTGTAATCCCAGCACTCTGGGAAGCCAAGGCTGGTGGATCACCTGAGGTCAGGAGTTCAAGACCAGTCTGGCCAAAATGGCAAAACCCCATCTCTACTAAAAAATACAAAAATTAGCCATGTGTTGTGGTGGGCGCCTGTAATCCCAGCTACTTGGGAGGCTGAGGCAGGGAGAATTGGTTGAACCCAGGAGGCAGAGGTTGCAGTGTGCCAAGACTGCACCACTGCACTCCAGCCTGGGTGACAGAGAAAGACTCCATCACAAAACAAAACAAAACAAAACAAAACAAAACAAAAGAATGAACAAAGCCTTCAAGATGCTTGGGACTACATAAAACAACCAAACTTATGAATTATCAGTATTTCCAAGGGGGAAAAATTAAAAAGTTTAGAAAATCTATTTATGGAAATAATTGATGAAAACTTTCCAAGTCTAGTAAGAGATTTAGAAATCCAGATACAGGATGCCCAGTGATCCCAGAAAACACATTGCAAAAAGAACTTCAGGCCAGGTGCGGTGGCTCATGCCTGTAATCCCAGCACTTTGGGAGGCCAAGGTGGGCAGATCACAAGGTCAGGAGATTGAGACCATCCTGGCTAACACGGTGAAACCCCATCTCTACTAAAAATACAAAAAATTAGCCAGGCATGGTGGCAGGCGCCTGTAGTCCCAGCTACTTGGGAGGCTGAGGCAGGAGAATGGTGTGAACCCGGGATGTGGAGCTTGCAGTGAGCCAAGATGGTGCCACTGCACTCCAGCCTGGGCAAGAGTGCGAGACACCGTCTCAAAACAAAACAAAACAAAAGAAAACAAAAAAACTTCAACATGCCATAGTATAATCAGACTGTCTGAAGTTAAAGTGAAGAAAGGAATTATGAAGTCAGCAAGGGAAAAGCATCTAGTTATTTATAAAGGAAAACCCATCAGATTAACAGCAGACTTCTCAGCAGAAGCTGTACATGCCAGAACAGAACAGATTGACATTTTCAAAGTGCTAAAGAATAAAAAATTAGCTTCATAAATGAAGGAGAAATAAAGTCTTTTCCAGGCAAGCAAGCACTGAGGGAATTTGTCATCACTAGACCAGCACTACAAAAAATGCTCAAAGGAGTCCTAAACACAAAAATGAAAGCTTGATATTCACCACTGTAAAAACATACAGAAGTATAAAACACATGTCTTATGAAGCAATCACACAAAGGAGGAAGAGAAAAAAAATCAAATGGCAAATGACAGAATTCTATCAAATTACAGAGAAAAAATGTAAAGAAGTATATAACTACTAGAAAACAATAAACAATAAACAATAAGGCAGGAACAAAACCTGACATCTCAATATTAACCTTGAGTGTAGATGAATTAAATGCTCCACTTTAAAGGTACATACTGGTGGAATGAATTTACAAAAATGATCCAATTATATGCTGTTTACAAGAAAGTTGCTTTATCTGTAAAGAAACATATAGACTGAAAATAAAAATAAAAATGGTAAAAGATATTCCACATGAACAGAAACCAAAAGTGAACAGGAGTAGCTATACTTATGTCGGATAAAATAAACTTTAAATAAAAAATAGAACAAAGAGAAAAAAGTCATTATATAATGAGAAAAGGTGTTAATTCAACAAGAGGATATCCCAATTCTAAATATATATGCACCAAACATTAGAGCAGCCAGATTCATAAAACAAATATTACTAGATCTAAAAAAAGAAATAGACAGTAATGGCATTAGACAGATATTGAAACAAAATGTTAACAAAGTGACAATGGAATTAAATTGATTTTTATATCAAATTGACCTAAAAGACATTTATAGAACATTCTACCTAACAACTGCAGTATATACATTCTTATCAGCACATTAAACATTATTCAGGATAGACCATATGTTAGAACACAAAAGAAGTCTCAATAAATTTTAAAAAATCAAAAACATATCAAATATCTTCTCAGACTACAGACTAAACTAGGAATTAGTACCAAGTGGGACTTCACGAACTATACAAATGTATGGAAACTAAACAACATGCCTCCAAATGATCATTGGGTCAACAAAGAAATTAAGACAGAAACTTTAAAAGTGTTTGAAACAAATGAAAATGAAAACACAACATATCAAAACCTATGTGATACAGCAAAAGCAGTGCTAAGAGGGAAGTTTATAGTTAAATGACTACAGCAAAAAACTAAAAAGATAATAAATTAACAACCTCATATCGAGGAACTAGAAAAGCAAGAACAAACCAAAATCAAAATTAGCAGAGCAAAAGAAATACCAAACATCAGTGCAGAATTAAATGAAATAGAGACCAAAAAAAACAAAGGATATATGAATCAAAATGTTAGCTCTTCAAAAAGATCAACAAAATTGATAAACCGCTAGCTAGAGTAACCAAAATAATAGAGAATATACAAATAAACAAAATCAGAAATGTAAAAGTAGATATCACAACTGATATTAAAGAAATATAAATAATAATCAGGTTCTAGTAAGAAAAATTATATACCCACAAACTGGAAAGCCTAAAGAAAATGAATAAATTCTTAGAAATATACAACCTCCTCAGATTGAACCAGGAAGACATACAAATTCTGAATACTGAACAGTAAGATTGAATCAGTAATAAAAAATCTTCTACAAAAAATAACCCAGGACCAGGTAGATTCACAGCTGAATTTATACCAAAGGTACAAAAAAGAACTAATAACAATTCCATGAAACTTTTCTAAAAAATCAAGAAGCAGGAAATTTTCTCTAACTCATTCTATAATACCAGTATAACCCTGATACCAAATCCAGGACAGGACAGAACAACAACAACAAAACAACAGACTGATGTCCCTGATGAACACAGATGCAAAAATCCTTAACAAAATACTAGCAAACTCATTCCAACAGCACATCAAAAATAATAACATAATATTATCAAATGGGTTTTATACCATCTCTGCAAGCATGGTTTAACACATGCAAGTCACTAAATGTGATAGATCATGTAAACAGAATTAAGGATAAAAGCCATATTATCATCTAAATAGATGAAGTAAAAGTATTTAATAAAATTCAGCATCCTTCATGGTAGAAACCCTCAACTAACTGGGCATAGAAGAAACATACCTGAAAATCGTATCCAAAATCATAGAGAAAAGTTGAAATCATTCCCTCTAAGAACTGGAACAAGACAAGGATGCCCAC
This sequence comes from Homo sapiens, assembly GCF_000001405.40. Classification (NCBI taxonomy): domain Eukaryota; kingdom Metazoa; phylum Chordata; class Mammalia; order Primates; family Hominidae; genus Homo; species Homo sapiens. The sequence continues at coordinate 103,773,698 of NC_000009.12, read as the reverse complement.
ATTCACCACTCATGTTTAACACAGTACTGAAAATCCTAGTTAGATCAGTCGGCCCAGAGAAATAAATAAAGTGCATCTAAATTGGAAAAGAGGAAGTCAAATTATCTCTGTTAATTGATGATCCAATCTTAAAGCTAGCAAAACCTAAAGACTGCACCAAAAAACTCTTAGATTTGAGCAATGAATTTGTAAACTTTCAAGATACAATATTAGCATATAAAAATCGGTAGTGTTTTTAAATACCAACCTAGCTGAGAACAAGATCTTGAAGGTAATCCCATTTCCAATAGCTACAAAAAAATACCTAGAAATATATTTAACCCATGAAGTGAAATATCTACAATGAAAACTTTACAAAACACTGATGAAAGAAATTGTAGATGACACAAACATATGGAAAAACATTCCATGCTCATTACTTAGAAGAATTAATATCATTAAAATTACCTTACTACCCAAAGCAATGTAAAAATTCAATGCAATCCCTATCAAAATACAGACATCATTTTTCACAGAATTAGAAAAAACAATCCTAAAATTCATATGGAACCAAAAAAGAGCCTGAATAACCAAAGCAATTCCAGGAAAAAGAACAAAGCTGGAGGCATTATGTTACTTCACACCTGATTTCAAATTATGCTACAAGGCTATAGTAACCAAAACAGAATGGTACTGGTATAAAACTAGACACAAAAATCAATGTAACAGAAGAGATAACTGAGATACCACATATTTACAGGACTTGACAAAGTTATATTCTTGACAAAGTTGACAAGAATATAAACTGGGGAAATGATACCCTTTTAAATACATGGTGCAGGGAAAATTGGATTGCCACATGCATAAGAATTAAACTGGGCCCGTATCTCTCACCATATACAAAAATCAACTCAAGATGAATTAAAGACTTAAATGTAAGAACTGAAGCTATAGTTTTAATGTAAACACTAGAACGCGACCTTGGAAAAACTTATGTGGACATTGGTATAGGCAAAAAATTCATGACTTGGACCTCAAAAGCACAGGCAACAACAACAAATAATTGGTAAGTGGGACTTAACTAATACACTTTTGCCTAACAAAATAAATAATCAATAGTATGAAAAGCCAACTTGTGAAATGGGAGAAAATATTTACAAACTATATATCCACAGGGGATGAATATCCAGAATTTACAAGGAACTCCAACAACTCAACAATAGCAACAAAAAACTTTAAAAAGTGGGTAAAGAAAATGAAAAGATATTTTTCAAAAGAAGACATACAAATAGCCAAGAGGTATATATATAAAAAAAAGGCTCATCATTAATCATCAGAGAAATACAATACAAAACCACAATGAGATCTCTTACACCAGTCAGAATGGCTGTGATTAAAAAGACAAAAAATAACTGATGTTGGTGAGAATGTGGAGAAAAGAGAACTCATAGACACTTTTGGTGGGAATATAAATTAGTACAACCTCTATAGAAAACTGTATGGCAATTTCTCAAAGAACTAAAAATAGACCTACCATTCGACCCAGTAATCCCACTGATGGGTATCTACCCAAAGGAAAAGAAATCATCTTATCAAAAAGACACCTGAATCCATATGTTTAGTGCAGCACTATTCATAATAGCAAAGATATAGAATCAACCTAAGTCCATCAATAGTTGAATAGATAAAGAAAATGTGAGATATATATATATATATATATATATACACACACACACACACACACACACACAATGGAATACTCTTCAGCCATTAAGAAAATGTAGTGATGTCTTTTGCAGCAACATGGATGGAACCAGAGGCCATTATCTTAAGTGAAACAACTCAGACCCAGAAAGACAAATATCATATGTTCTTACTTATAAGTGGAAGCTAAATAATACATACACAAGGACATAGGCTATGGAATCATAGTCAATGAAGACTTGGAATGGTGGTGGGATTACAGGGGGATGGATGAGAAATTAATGGGTACAGTGTACATTATTCAGGTGATATATGGCATAAAAGCCCTGGCTTCACCATTATGCAATCTATGCATGTAACAAAATTATACTTGTCTTCCATAAATTTATGCAAATATAAAAAATAAATCTGAGCATATATGTACTCAATGTTAATTACTTTGAAATTCATGTTACATATGGCCCAAAATATAAAAGCAACTTGAATCCATTAATTACATATTGGGGAAAAAAAGTCTTTTCTAGCACTTTCTAAACTAGTACATTCCAGTAGCTCTTACGAGGAGAGAAGTTACGTTTGGTTGTTTTTGTCTTGAATAGTCTATCACATTGTTGTGTAGAGGTCAATTATTGCATACTTAAATTAAAGGACTTTATAAAGTTAAGTAAGAGATTTCCTGGCTCTGAAATTGCAAACTTATAGTCCTTATAACAAGATGAATGTTTTTTTTATCTACTCTTTAACAGGAAAAGTTAGGTTTTAGATATATTTCTATTTTATAATTATCTTTGAATTAAGGATTTAAAATAGCTTTAATTATTATCTTAATTCATAACTTACCCAAAATAATCTACAAAAGCCATCTAAACATAGACAACCACTAGGTCTGGGAAGAGAAGAATAAAGGAAGATTAAAACAGAAATGACACAATTTATTAGTTAAAAATATTAAATTTTCCTCTTTGTTCTTCCAGATATGGAAGGGAAAGTCTCTGAACTACTGTAAGTTTCAAGCTGAGGTCAACCACACTACTTATTGGTGAGCTATGGGCATGTAAAATTATAGACTTATAATTTCCTGGGTGTCGACTTTATTAAAAACTGTTGGAAAAATTAAAAACAACTAATAACTTGAAGAAAATTATAATGATATAGGTCACTCTCAGGAAACACTGTGGACTCCTCAAAAGTAGGAAAAAATCATGTGCAGTAATTGGAAAATTTACTCATTTTTATTATCAGATAACTCATGTTATTACCGGTACATTTATGTTGATGTAAATGCAACATAGTACCTTAGTAAGAACACATTAATGTCACTAGCTAGCTCCATTAGTGCTAGTCAGCCAAGGCAAGAGATTTGCAATTAAAATTCCTAGTCCCTGGTGGCAGCCAGCATGGTTGTTTTTAGAAAAATGAATTTGTTGACTTATGAACTTTTTTTTCCCAGTTTCATTTACATGACAATTAAATTGGTTTCAAGAAATTTCTTTGCCAACCTCCTGGAGCTACTTAAAATAAAAAAAAAAAAGTTAAACAGGCAATCACTTTCTGCACAGGAGTTTTTAATAATAAAAACATCTTATTTTTTGGCAAGTTTGTATAATTTTAGTGTCAATTCTTATTTTTATTTTCAAAGTTTATTCTTACAGATACATATTCAACTGAAATTTTCATTGGTAGGAGTCTCCCTAGAAAAAAATGTTTATTTTAGCAGACAGCTATTACTATATTCCAATAAAGGTTTACCATTGCATGATACCTGATGGGATTTTGTTTCTATGACAGACTGTTACTGGCCCATAAGAAGTGACACTTTCTGGCATACATCCTCTTGAGTCATCAACTCTCCTTGAATTAAGGTGGGCTTAGGATCTGCTTTAACTTAAAGAATATCACAGGCTGGGTGCAGTTGATCATGCCCATAATCCAGCAATTTGGGAGGCTGAGGCAGGAGGATTGCTTGAGGCTAGGAGTTCTAGGATATGGTGAGCAATGATTGTACCCCTGCACTCCAGCCCGGGCAACAGAGCAAGATCCTGTTTTGAATTTTTTTAAAAAAAGGAATATCACAGAAGTGATGTTGTACCATTTCCAGAACTAACCTTAACAATGCCTGGCAGTTTCCTCTTTCATACTCTTGGCATTTATATACGGCATCCTCCAAATATAAAGTCCTTCTGCATTGCTAGAGAGATCAGTTAATGTGAGACAAGCTCAGAGAGTACACCAAAAGAAAGAAAAGCCCAACTGACCCCAAATCTCAGCTGTGACCAGTTCTCAGCTGATGCAATAGCTGAGTATAGCTATAAGGATGACAAATGGCGAGAACACCATAACTACCCAGCTGAGCCCAGAGTGCCTAATCATGAGCAAATAAAACAGTTGTTTGCAATTACTAATTGATGGGAAGTGTTGTAACAGCAATAGACAAAGAGTTACGGTGTGGTATTTGAATGTAGCACAGACACTACGTTAGACTTAAAGTTGTGACAGGTCTGTAGTGGTATGGTGTGAATTAACTGGTGAATTCTTACGGATTTGCAGCCTGGCTGTTGAAGACCTTTCCATGCTTTAACATACCAATATCATCATTCTTTTAGGGCCATCAAAGAGGGGACTCCCTGACCATTTTTCTTAGGTAACTTGATGCAATTAAGACACACTACACAGTGCCATGTACTACTATTTGAGTCCCTGGAATCCACTGAAAGAACTGTTGTTCTTTGTGTAGGTAGTTATGGCAGATCTGGTACTCCTCAGGAACCTTCAGGCTTTCCACATATCATTTCCCACATACCATTCCTGGAGGGAGGAGAACCACTCTCTCGAAGCACAGAGCTTTATATCCCCCACTAGGTCTTCGTGCTTGAAGTGTCATTAAAACTTCATACATCAGGCCAGGCATGGTGGCTCATGCCTGTAATCCCAACACTTGGAGAGGCTGTAGTGGGAGAATCGCTTGAGGTCAGGAGTTTGAAACCAGCCCGGTCAGCTTTATACATCAAATATCTTCAGCAAATTCATGTTTTTTCTCTCAGGGAGAACCTCTCAGAGGGGAGATATTAAATAAAATCTATGCTTTTTACATTAGAAATTTAAAAATTACATTTAATTAGACCATAACAGAAGTTATATAAAGAAATTTTGAAGCATAAGATTTCTATTCCATTGAAAACACACAACATAATGAAGAAACACAGAACGAACTAAAATCATCTAGTTTTGTAGTAGGCAGGATTTTTTTTCTTTACCTCTTCACAGTTGCCTAGGTAGTAAAGAAGATGATGGTACTTAACGAAATAGTAAATTGGCAGTTAGCAGCAAAAGCAGTCACTACCCTTGTCTTATGAAGTAAATACATGCTTGCTTAAAATGTGTGTGTGCATGTGTGTGTATTTTAATAACAATGCAAGAAAGTGTGTGTTTTTAAAAAAATGTCCTGAACAGTAATGCAAGGACCATGATTCTTACATAATATTTTAAAAGCAGCCATAAAATTTAAAGAAATCAGTGAAATTTTTATAACTTTTCAATAAGAGAAGTCTGGCTGAAGAATAGTATAAGAAAACAAAATAAATAGTATTAAAAGTTTCCCTCAAGTTTCTTTTCAGACTTGCTTTATGGAGTCAGATGTAGACACTTGATACATTCCTGGGCTGTGCAGAGTAAAAGATGCCTTGATTCAAGAGAAAGAAAAAGACCAACTTTTTTTTTAGAAAAATTAAACTCAAAAGAACAACTTAAACAACTGGTTGAGTAACTTATTGTCTTAATCTGCTCCAGCTGTTATAACAAATTACCATAGACTGGATGGTATCAACAGTTTCTTACAGTTCTGGGAACCAGGAAGTCCAAGATTAAAGTATGGGCAGATTCTGTTCTTGGTTAGGGCTCCTTTCATGGTTTGCAGACAGCTATTTTCTTTATTGCACAGATGACAGGGAGTAGAGGGAAAAGCAAAATGTCACATGTTCTTATGTTATAAGGTAATGAATCCTATTATAAGGGCTCCACCCTTCTAACCTAATTACTTCCTAAAGGCTCCATCTCCAAATACCATCACAATGGGGATTAGGGCTTTGACATATGAATTTGAAGGAGGGAGCACAAACATGTAGTTCATGATAGTCATGTTAAGATAATTCTCTGTCGTAATTTCCAAAGAGCTTAATGATAAACAAATAATTAATAAGCATGTGTTTTTTAGAGGGGTAGGGTGCAAAATATTATGTTATGAATAATAAGATAGAAAAGGTGTGCATAGATAGCCCCTACCCTTGACAAGCCCAATCGTACGAATGCTAGCTCAATTCCGATTATTCATCACACAAAGAATTTGCTCTTTCTTTTAAAGTATGATTAATGAGATGAATAAATTGTGAACAGACATCTATTTAGGCCACAGTGTAATGGGATTGGAAAGATATTGCAAGCTTGTGCCAAATCCATGTAAATGTTATGGCTGGCTGAAGGTAGAAATGAAAGCCTTGAACACATGAATGAATTGTTACTGTCCATCCAGGACAAATGAAATGCATCACAGTTGGTATAAACCAAGGTAGAGTCAATACATCATTACAGCAACACATTGTTCCCAATGTTGGTTTATTTAGTGACAAAGACTCCCTGCTTGATCAAACATTATTCAGGCTCTTTTGAACCTTCTTCCAACTAGGTCTTGACCTCTGGGTTTCTGTGTTCATTTTTGCAATCCCCAACTTCAGCAAGAATCCTGTCAAGTAAATGCAGTCAAAATCACCCCTTACTCTTGATATTTCCTCTTAATAATTTTTCATCCACTGACCCCCATTCTACTCATGGGCTTTAAATCCCCACTTTTCTTTGTTCTATTACAAATCAAGCTCAGTTCTATGCTGAGGTATTTTTTTCCCTTATTGCAATAGTACTGAAAAAAAATCTGCTTTTACTGCTTTAACTATTGTCTGGCCTGTTTTTTTCTTTAACATTTGTAGATATAATTTGAGGCCAAAAACAGGAACTTATTTAAAGCATAAACTTTGCATATTTTATTGCACATATTAGAATTTCTATTATTGACATATTTAAAACATTTATTGAGACCTATTACGTGCCAGACACTATTCTACAAACTAAAAATGAAATTTTAGAATTAGAGAGATTTGTTCTTAGTGACTGTTAATCATCCGAAATTCAACCCATTACCCAGGGTTGAAATTTATGACACTGGTGGAAATACAAAGGGCATAATCATCAATCACATTTATTCTCAGTTTTTTCTCCTCAAGACAGTAAACATTTTATTCATTACAGTAAACACAAACGAACCTCATTTGTGTTCTTTTGTAGATCACTAAGGTTTTTTGTACACACACACACACACACACACACACACGGGAGGTTGTCAGAAAGTTCATGGAAAATGTGTATTATAACAAAAGTGTCCATAGTTTTCAATGTTTTGGATCAAAATAAAGTTGTCATAACTTGTTATGTCTAAACAGGACCCATTTTGAGGCACTAAGAAGGCTGAGACACAAGTTTGAAAACAGCCCTCATCAGAGCAACATGAATTCTGCTAAAATCAAAGCAAGAACAAACACCAAACTTAGGTGAAGTTTGGTTGGAAGAATGGTGAAATCACTGATTCTTTACAAAACATTTATGAGAACAATGCCCCAAAGAAATCAGCAATTTCCAAATGGATAACTCATTTTAAGAAAGGAGGAGACAATGTTGAAGATTAAGCCCTTAAGAGCAGACCATCCACATCAATTTGCAAGAAAAAAAAACTGTATCCGGTTCATGCCCTAATTGAAGAGGACCAAAGACTAACAGCAGAAACAATAGCCAACACCATAAACATAACTACTGGTTCACAATTTTTTTTTTCACAAGGGCCAAATGTCCCACGTTTATTTACATATGAAATGTGTTTCATACAGTTATGATGGATGGACTGCGTAACACCTGACAGCAGCAAGACCTTTTGAGGAACAGAACGTTGACTACAGTGTATCATGCAAGTATCTATATATACACAAAAGAATTCCTTTTCTTAAAAAAAAAAGTACAAGACATGTTCAGGGATAAATACAAGATATAAAATGCAAAAGAAAACACAAAGCAAAACCACAAAATAGAACTCTCTCAGAGAAGTATAAACGGAAGGGACAGAAGAGTACCTCTGTTGCATTTTAGTAAAGCAGAACTACCGATGTTAAATATACTGCTTGAAATGGCTGAACTAAACCTGGGTGGCTCAGTGCTTAAGGTAACGGCCAATTGCAATACACAGGCGGCTGCAGTGATAAGTCGGTGGTTGAAGTTGTGCATCGCGACTCCAAATACCAGAACGTTTGGCAGTAGCACCCAGAACAGGAAACGCCAACTCTTTTGACAGCAAAGGGTTAAGTCAACTGATTTTTTTCTGTCAAGAGCCAGAGAAATACTTGATATTCTTATTTGTGTTTCTGTAATAGTTAATAAATTACATGACGAAATCCTGACTATATAAATCTATTGGTCTAACTACACAATTTTGACGGAAAAATTAAAGTTGAGCAAACTTTTCACTCAATGGGTACCAAAACCATTGCACCCAGACAAGCTACAGACAAAAGTAGAGCTTTCAAAGGAAATTTTAAACAAATAGGATCAAGATCTTAAAGCTTTTTTTCAAAATATTGTACCAAGAGATGACACATGACTTTACCAGTAAGATCTTGAACACAAATCACCATCAAAGCAATGGCTACCAAGAGGTAGAAGTGATTCAGTCCGAGAAAAAAAACAGACCAATCAACAGCAAAGGTCATAGCAACAATTTATGGGGATGTTCAAGGCATCTTGCTTGTTGGCTTTCTTGAAGGCCACAGAACAATAATATCTGCTTATTATGAGAGTGTTTTAAGAAAGTTAGCTAAAACTTCAGCAGAAAAATGCCTGGGAAAGCTTCACCAGAGAGGTTTTCTCCACCATGACAATGCTCCTGCAACAAAGGTGATTTTATGGGAATTTCAGTGGGAAATCATTAGGCATCTACCTCACAGTGCTGATTTGGCTTCTTCTGACTTCTTTTTGTTTCATAATCTTAAAAAAATCTGTAAAGGGCACCCATTTTTTATCTGTTAATAATGTAGAAAAGACTGCATTGGCATGGTTAATTTCCCAGGACCCTCAGTTTTTTAAGGATGGACTAAATAGCTAGTATTATCACTTACAAAAGTGTCTTGAACTTGATAGAGCTTATGTTGAGAAATAAAATTTATATTTTCTATTTTTATCTTTTAATTAGCTCTGTCCATAAACTTTTTGAAGTCCGTGTGTGTGTGTTTTTATATTTCCCTTGTAGTTCAAATAGTGTTACAAAAACACAGACAAAAGTGGATCAGAGATCCTTTTAGCTCATCATATGACACAAGCAATTTGACCTCTAAAGAAGGTAAGACAAACACGGGTATTTCCATTAACAGCAACATAAAAGCATTTTCTCATTTTACATTTCTATAGCAGCAATTTTGCACATGTTTCTTTAGTAATTACTCTGCTTTGGCTTGTAAACAGTGTTTAAAATGATGTTATTTAAACCCACATATTTGCATGCATCTGAGTTCTCAAAATACGTAATGATGTAAAAACAGGTAACTTGTCTGCATGTTAAATCTGATGTAGAGTGTCAGCTTTCTTCAATTCAGCACAATTTCCAAAAATTGAAAAGACTGCATGCAATGTTTTTATTACATTAACCAAAACAAGTAAGCCATTTTTTTGTCCTGTTGGTAAATAATTTAAAACATTACTTTGATAATAAAACAGCAGATACACATACGAAATTGAGGGAAAGTTTGCATAAATTTTTAAAAAGAAAACATGAGATGTAGCCAGATGGCTTAAGACATGTCCTTAGATTTCCTGGGACTCCGTTTTTATTATCAGTTGCCATTAAGGTGGTTCTTTTTACAATTTTGAGCATCATTTTAATTAACAGCAGCAGGCAGTTATCACAATGAATTCAGTTGTCATTTGCATTTAACTCATATTATCATTTCTTTGTTTTACTTGTGAAACTGGGTCCCTGCCTTTGAGTGTTTTTAGTCCTCACAAGGACAAAATTTAACACATGGGTGAAAATGATTTTCTACTAGGTCAGTGACTCAAAGTCAACTTTACTTCCTTTTTCAAATCTGGCATTTCACAGGTTAAGTGGAATACCTCAGAGGGACTGAGCACACTGATGAGTGGGTAAGAGTTTATTTGACTCTGGCATTCAACTTTTGATACTGTGGTTGAATTTTTTCCAAATTGCCAGATGGTATTTGATTATCTAGATCATAAAGAATAATTGATATGTAATCATGCACGTCATGCCTTTTTTACCCTTATTTTGCATGGGACACAAAGATTGGGGCTTCTATCATAATGTAGAAATTAGAAGTACTAAAGGCAGAGGAAATGTCCTTCTCCTGCTTTGAATTTGAATGGAGGATTGAAGTGAAATGCAGGAATGTTCTTAAAGTTTTTTAAAATTTTTAAAATTTTTATTCTTTCTTTTTTTTTTTACATATTTTTAAAGACATTGATTATTTTCCCATGTTAGAGGTGTTTCAAAATCAATTGATACTCTTTGAACTGGTAGAAATGTAGCAGGAAGAGCCACAGACAAACCCCCTTAGACACCGAGTTAAAGAAGGAAGGGGTTTATTCGGCCGGGAGCATTGGCAAGACTCCTGTCTCAAGAGCCGAGCTCCCCACGTGAGCAATTCCTGTCCCTTTTAAGGGCTCACAACTGTGAGGGGGTCCACGTGAGAGAGTCGTGATCGATTGAGCAAGCGGGGGGGTACGTGACTGGGGGCTGCATGCACTGGTAATCAGAACAGAACAGAACAGAACAGAACAGAACAGAACAGGACAGGGATTTTTACAATGATTTTCTATACAATGTCTGGAATCCATAGATAACATACCCAGTTAGGTCAGGGGTCAGTCTTTAACTGCCAGGCCCAGGGCACGGCGCCTGGCTGTCTGCCTATGGATTTCATTTCTGCCTTTTAGTTTTTACTTCTTCTTTCTTTGGAGGCAGAAACTGGGTGTAAGACAATATGAGGGGTGGTCTCCTCCCTTAGAAACAAGAGATTAAGAGGATGATGAAACAACAAAAGATGAACTAATTTACTCCTTTCTTATTCCCTCTTAAGGATATTTCATAATACAGTCTTCCTTCAAATATTTCTCTATATCAACACTTATTACACAGCTTTCAAGAGGTAGGTCCTGTGACAGATTCATAATGATAAATTAGTCATGTCCCTTACCTGCAAGGAGCTTAGAATCTAGTGAGGAAGACAGACATGTGAACAAATAGGTTCAATAGATGACAGACATATGTGCAAGGTTCACCGCAGCCTTATGTTGGAATGGTTACGGTTACCTGGATCTGAGACTACAAAAAGGTATTATATAGAGCAGTGCTGGCCAAGAGAACATTCTGCAATGATAAAAATGTCCTCTATGTGTATTGTTTAATATGGTAGCCCTGTATGTTTACTGAATATATAGAGGAGGAAATATTTCTTTTCCTCATCCATCACTTGGATCATGTATGGAGGACCCTATAACAAAAGACAGATTAACAAGGGAAAGGCATGCAAACTTATTTAAAATAAGTTTTGCATGTCACGGAAGCTTTCATAAGGACATGAAAACCCAAAGAAAGAGGTTAACAGGGTATTTTTATGATCGGGTTTGATGAATCAATGCATAGTCATGGAGAAGTATGATTGGACAAATGAGGTCTGATCTAATGATAAAAAACTGGGGGGAATTAGCAAGGCCTGTTTGTTCATATTCTTCTCTGTGTCCCTGTGTCTTTAAGGATATGAATGTTTCTATCCTCTGGGTACAGGAAGGGCACATCTTAAATGAGTGTTTTCTGACCTGCTTCAGAGGAAAACAGTTAAAGAAAGATGAGAATGACCTTCCCGCTTCTGCTGTTTTCTCAATATCAAGATGCCTTATTTTGGGGAAGTGTGTCCTGAACTCCATCAAGCATTTGAAATATGCTCTCATAACAGAGAAATTTAAAATTAATATAAATTTAAACTGGAAGAGTTCCTTGTGGCTAGTGGGTACCATATAGGCAATGCAGTGATAGTGGGTTGAATGTGAGTGGAGCTTTCTCTCTGTTGTCATTTCTTATATTTTTTATTCTGTAATTATATTTCTGAGGTCTGGATAGAACTTAAAATAGGACAAAAAATGTACTTCCCTTTAAAGGCCCAACTTTCATTTTGAGAACAAGGTGGTTTAATAATTAAATTCGCTAAAATAATTTAATAATTAAATAATTTAAATAATAAATAATTTAAATAATTTAATAATTTAATTCATTAAAACTCACTAACACATTTCACTTCGTGGCAGTTCAAATTCTAGACACCTGGATTTGCTGGCTTCTTTTGATATTGCCAAGTCAATGTCTGATAAAAAATAACTTCAAGAATCCTTATTTTCCCCTAACACCATAGCACCATGATTACAAGTCCCTTTGGGGTAATAGATTTTATGAAACTTTAGAAATAATTGGAGGAAGTTATAGTCTAGAGAAAAAAATTCCCTAAAAACTGTAAATTGAGGTATTATATATGATGATCCTTATAATCCACATTCAAAAGACATTCTACTTTTTTACTGCTTGTGAGATTAAAAACATTTCCCTAGGTTTATTTGACTTTTATATACCTATTTTTGTAAATTTTCTGAAAATTTTTTTCCATTGGTCAATTTGTATGTGTTTACTAAATTGTAAGAACATAAATTTTGAGACATAATCTTTGTCATACATCTTGCAAATGTTTTAAGTTTGTGTCTAGCACTGTTGCATTTAGCTCCTTTGTTTTGTTTTGTTTTCATGCCCTGCTATCCTGCTTAGACATGCTCTACTGTGCCAAGATTAGATGTCTTTTCAATAATATTTTCTTCCAGAAATGGTTGCATTTTTTACATTTAAAGCTTTCATTTATTTGGCACTTACTATTACGTATGATGTGCAATATGAGTCTAATGTTACTTTTCTCTCTAAATGGATAGCCATTTGTCCCCAAAGCATCCATTAAAACATCCATCATTTTCTCCATCTGATATAAAATGTCACCTTTATCATAAGCTCAGTTTATTATATTCCCTGGTAGTTTTAAAATTTTTGATCCTGTTTTATTGATCTGCCTTCTTATTCTTGCATCAGATACCACCATGTCTGGTTTAATTTATGTTTCTCTAAATGTTGATGTCAAGAATAAGATGATCTCCTTCCTATCACATCTCTTTAACACAAGTAGTTTATATTTGCTTTTGTTTTTCCTTCATCACTTTTCTTTCCTCCCTTTACACATACTCCAATGCTTTTTGATACACTTGAATTTTTTATTTCTTATAAAATTTATGTTATGTTTCACATATCTTTCATCCAAGATTTATTTTGGAATTTATATTAAAGAACAAGATTGAGAACAATTGTTTGTGTGTGTGTGGGTGTGTATAAAATACACATGTAAATATATGTGTGTATATACAGACACACACTTGCAATTTTCAGTGCTTGTCTTAAGTCCTCTAATTCATGAATTCTCCATTCTGGAGCTCATAATATTACTTCTATTCTATGCACATATTGGTTTATTTTTTTAAGAATGGTATACGTACTAAATATAATTTTAATGCTTCATCATCTAGAAGAGTCATTCTATTGATTTAGATGTGAAATGTAGCTTGGTTTTATATAATAGTCTTGATTTATAGTTTTTTTCCTTCAAAATTAGAGATTTTTTTCCATGTACATCTCTTATTTACTGATGCAGTAAAGAACGTAGAAGTAAACCTGACTTGTGTTCTTTCACAGATAATCTGTATTTCTTCTCTTCTCTTCTGGCTTTCTTTGTGGTCCAAATACTATTTCAAGATTTACCTATATATAGTTCCTTTTTAAAAATAAGCTCATCCAGGGATATGACTATTTCTTACATCTTTTATTAATAGCTATTGGGATCATGATATCTTCTTCATTTATATTTTTGGTTAGTCCTGGTTTATATGTTTTTCTCTCCAATAATACAAAATTACTCATATTATAGCTTTCCTTTTGTTTTCCTTATTTTGTCATCTTATCTCACATTATTTATTTGCACAGATATTTCATTTGAATTTTGACTTTATCAAAATTGCAAGTTACGTAAATGAACTCAACACTCTAGAATCAATTTGCCATTGACTATCATTAATGGGTAATTTACTACTTTTTATACTTATGAAAATGTTGTCTGTCTCCTAATTCCAATGTTTTATATATTTTCACATGTGACGTTTAATACTAGATTCAATTCTTTCTCTCATAAAAATAAACATAATATTTTCCCCTCTAAAATAATTGCAATTGTGTTTCTGTATACTTGACTATCTTAATGCCCAGATGTTTGTGTTGTATCTTTGTTTTTGCTTACCTTAGCAAATGAATTTAATGTTAGATATAACATGACTGCTTTTCTTATGTTTATTAAAATGTTGACCTTTAAAATATTTTTGTCTGTTCACAATGATCATTGATTATGAAAATACATTTGTATAGATGTGTGAATTTTTTGCATGTTTGCACGTTTTGCATTCTTTAGGACTTATAATTGTTCTAAATAGTAAGAAAACAGGCTCAGCAGCAAGCTAACATGGGTTTATATTCTGGCTGTGCAGCTAACTAGGTTTATGGCCACGTGTCTAGAAAGTTTCTTTGTGACTCAGTGGTCTCTTCTGCAATATGGGAATAATAGCAGTACCTATCTTTCAGTGTTGTTTTGAGGATTAAATAGCATACACAGTCAAACACATGAAGCATAGATAACAATATCTCACATGAACTGAACATTCACTAGACATCAGCTATGATTATTTTATGCATAGGCTTTATGAGATTCTTTCATCCATTCACTCAAAATATTTTCTTGAGTACCTATTACATAGGTACTCAAATAGGTAATAATAGCCTATTATTAAATAGGCTTTAATTTAGTTATTAAAGCCTTAAGTACAGGCTTTACTCTGGACACTAGGCATAGAGTATGAACAAAATAGATGATTTCTTTCCTCAAGGAGCTTGTTTATATTCTAGATGTTAAAAGAACAATAAAAAATATAAATAAAACAAATTTAACATTGCTTTGAGGCCCTGAGTTTAGTCACAGATAGGAGAAAGATATGGATTATGTTTTGCAATTTCTAGAGAAAGCACCACCTTGAAGTGTAGGAATTCAATGAAAATCACGATTATCAGAGTGCTCTGTCTCTGGTTTTAAGCAGAACTGTGGAAAACCTGGACCTCTCAAACACTGAGTGCTTTTCATTCTGCTGTATTTTACTGGAATTTGTTTCCTTGGTGAGTTCAGAGGAACAAAAAAAGAGGTGTATTCTTTAAAGAGGACTTCTAGGGGACTCAGTTGGACATTGCTAATCATAGCGCAGTTGTCCAATAAAAAGATAAAGGATGAAGTGAGTCAGAATCCTTGAGAGACTGTTAGGAAAAGATCATGGACCTGGGATTTGAGACTATGGATGTGGAATGGACAACTATCCATTACCCACAGATCCAGGAGACACCAACCCATGAAGGCACAAGAATCCACGTCAAAGGGCCCAGGGATATGGGAGTGACACAAGTGGCCATTTCTTCCCCATGAGTGACTGTTGATTGATTGAAATAAATGTAACTATTAGCAAGAATACAGGTGATATGGGAGGATGTTACTGGTAATCAACAAGAAGAATGAGTGTGACATTGTCTGGCTTTGTGTCCCCACCCAAATCTCATCTTGAATTGTACTCCCACAATTCCCACGTGTGGTGGGAAGGACCTGGTGGGAAATAATTTGAATCATGGGGGCGGTTTCCCCCATACTGTTCTCATGGTGTGAATAAGTCTCGTGAGATCTGATAGTTTTATCAAGGGTTTCTGCTTTTGCATCTTCCTCATTTTATCTTACCGTCACCATGAAAGAAGCGCCTTTCACCTTTCTGCCATGATTCTGGGGCCTCCCCAGCCATGTGGAACTGTAAGTCCAATTAAACCTCTTTTTTTCTTCCCACTCTTGGGTATGTTTTTATCAGCAATGTGAAAATGGGACTAACTCAGTAAATTGGTACCAGAAGAGTGGGGCGTTGCTGAAAAGATACCTGAAAATGTGGAAGCTATCTTAGAACTGGGTAACAGGCAGAGGTTGGTACAGTTTGGAAGGTTCATAAGAACACAGGATAATGTGGAAAAGTTTGGAACTTCCTAGAGACTTGTTGAATGGCTTTGACAAAAATACTGATAATGATATGGACAATGAAATGCAGGCTAATGTGGTCTGAGATGGAGAGGAGGAACTTGTTGAGAACTGGAGCAAAGGTGACTCTTGTTATGTTTTAGCAAAGAGACTGGAAGCATTTTGTCCCTGCCCTAGAGATCTGTGGAACTTTGAACTTGAGAAAGATGATTTAGGATATCTGGCAGAAGTAATTTCTAAGCAGCAAAGCATTCAAAATGTGACTTGGGTGCTGTTAAAGGCATTCAGGTTTAAAGGAAAGCAGAGCATAAAAGTTCGGAAAATTTGCAGTCTGACAATGAGATAGAAAAGGAAATCCCATTTTCTGAGGAGAAATTCAAGCTCACTGCAGAGATTTGCATAAGTAACAAGGAACTGAATGTTAATCCTCAGACAATGGAATGTCTTCAGGGCATGTCAGAGATCTTTGCAGCAGCCTCTCCCATCACAGACCCAGAGATCTAGGAGGTAAAAATGGTTTTGTGGGCAGGGCCCAGAGTCCCCGTGCTGTGTTCAGTCTAGGGACTTGGTGCCCTGTATCTTAGCCACTCCAGCCATGGCTGAAAAGGGCCAATGTAAAGCTCGGGCCATAGCATCAGAGGGTGCAAGCCCCAAGCCCTGGCAGCTTCCATGTGGTGCTGAGCCTGTGGGTACACAGAAGACAAGAATTAGGGTTTGGGAACCTCTGCCTAGATTTCAGAAGATGTATGGAAACACCTTCATGTCTACGCAGAAGTTTGCTGCAGGGGTGGGGCCCTCATGGGGAACCTCTGCTAGGACAGTGCAGAAAGGAAATGTGGAAATGTGGGGTTGGAGCCCCCACACAGAGTCCCTATTGGGGTACCACCTACTGGAGCTATGAGAAGAAGGCCATGGTCCTCCAGACCCCAGAGTTGTAAATCTACCTGCAGCTTGCACTGTGTACTTGGAAAATCCCCCCCAGACATTCAATACCAGCCTGTGAAAGCAGGCAGGAAGGAGGCTGTACCCTGCAAAGCCACAGAGGCAGAGCTTCCCAAGACCATGGGAACCCACCTCTTGCATCAGTGTAACCTGGACATGAGACTTGGAGTCAAAGGAGATCATTTTGGATCTTTAAAATTTGATTTTTTCTTTTTCTTTACAGTCTCGGGTATGTCTTTATCAGTAGCATGGAAACAGACTAATGCAGAGTGTATTATAATTAACTGAAGGGTCTAATTATTTTTCTCTATATAACCTATGTAATGAATACTAATCAGAGGGCCTGGGATCTTGCCTCCCTAGCAAATTGCTCAAAATTAACTGGATCATAAAAACAAGCTGCTGATATTGGCCTCATTTACACTGTCCTCCATTAGCTGAATGGCAAAGACTAAACCTATCCAGACTTTCCCATCATTGTCAGACACCATGGCAAGATTCTTCATGAATCCATTGTACCTTAGAGATTAGCAAAAGGGAATTATGCCAATACTGACTAGTGTGTTTATAACTGAGTAAATCCTAACAGGATTTAATGAGTGGTTTAATTTCGTGTTAAGTTTGTAACTATCCAGATTAGTAAAATATGAGCAACAGTTCCCAGAAAGTATGATTCATTCCATTCAACATGCTTGCTCAAAAAGACAAATTATCTTTAGAATCCTTATGCAATAAAGTATAAAAATGTAAGATATTAGCAGAATTTTAAAGAGAATATACAATGATCTTACACAGTTATATTACCCAATATTCCTTCCAAAATATTTCAGTGTCCAAAAAATTATGAGTAGTTATGTAAATAATTGAAATGCATGTAATAATACATTCAGTAGTGACAGTTTTTAAGCTATCAGGAAGGTTTAGCAGGGGAAGGAATGAGGCAAACTTGCCTGGAAGGGACAAGGCAAAGGACATTTCAAGTAAAGAGATCATTATATATGCATACTACCCAAGGAAATGAATATTATTCTTTGTTTGTGTAAGCAAGAGAACACCATGGAAGATAAATTCTAAAGTTCACATAAGGAGAATGAGAGAGATTAAAAGCCTCAATTGATGTGCTAATTAGTTGGTGCAGCTTTTGCCAAAATCCCAACCATGGAATGGTAGAATGAGGTAGGAAAAAAGCATGCGGTTGATAGTCAAAGAGCCTGGATCTTGTCTCTCTTTCAATTGCTCAGTCTCCTAAATAAAACACGTAGGCAAAAAAATCAATATAATCTTAGGAATGTCACAACACAAAGTTATTTTTGGAACTCTAATGAAAGGAGATACTTAACAAATGATTTCTTTTAGATTATGTAATCATGTTTCTTTTTGAATTGTCACTAATAACAGAACAGAAAATAACCTTACAACTTTTTTTTGTAGAGATGGGGGGTCTTGCTATGTTCCCCAAGTTGGTCACGAACTACCAGCTTCAAGCAATTCTCCCACCTCGGCCTCCCAGAATGCCAGGATTACAGGTGTGAGCCTAGCCACAACTTACTTTAGAGCTGCCAATGTTCTTTTATACAACTTAGCTTGTTTTATCATCATTACAACTGTAATGGAAGAAACCTATATACAGTACTTAATATCCAGATGTTTTGGGTTAATATATGGTGACCTATATTGGTAACATTAAACACTACAATATTATTTTTTGTCCCATGTATATATTGTATACAAACAATGATAGGTTGGTAAACTATCTCTCAAAACATAAGCCCAAATTTGTAGTATTTGCTAATTTACCTGGTCTTTGTACTTGCACTATTGTCAATTTCAAGTATCAACAGTTAATAACCAACTAGTAAAATTTCTGAATATTTAACAATGCTTTTAAAAGACAGTATTGAGCTTCCAGCACATCTTTGGATGTAGGTACATATTTGGGGAAGTATTATTCATAAAAAATAATATTGGAGTGTTTATTATGTTCCAGACACTGTGATATGGGCTTCATAGATTTATCATAACAACCTCATGAAAATGGTATTACTTTTGTCCCCATTTAAGGACCTGTGGTTTAAAAGTCATGAAGTAACTGACCACAAGTTGTATAACAGGTTATTTATAAAATAATAGAGTCAGAATCTGAGTCCACTGTTAAGAAGATATTGACCAATATTTACAAACTTTTCTCCGTATCAAAAGTCACATATTGAATAGAAGTGTAAGATCTTATTGCCTTGTGTGTGAGGCATTTTTTTTAATAAGAAGTGGCTGTATTAGTCAGGGTTCTCTAGAGGGACAGAACTAATAGGAGATATATATATATATATATATATATATATGTATATATATATATATATATATGTATTTATTTATTAAGTATTAACTCACATGATCACAAGGTCCCACAATAGGCTGTCAGGCCATCTGCAAGCTGAGGAGCAAGGGGAGCCAGTCCGAGTCCCCAGCTGAGGAACTTGGAGTCCAGTGTTCTAGGGCAGAAGGCATCCAGAACAGGAGAAAGATGTAGGCTGGGAGGCTAGGCCAGTCTAGTCTTTTCACATTTTTTCTGCTGCTTATATTCTAGCCACACTGGCAGCTGATTAGTTTCAACCCAGATTATGGGTGGGTTTTACCTTTCCCATCCCACTGACTCAAATGTTAATCTCCTTTGGCAACATCCTCACAGACACATCCAGGGTCAATACTGTGAATCCTTCAATCCAATCAAGTTGACACTCAGTATTAACCATCACATGGCAAGAGAATAGATAGAGAGGAGAAAGGAAAGAAGAAAGGAGGGAAGGAGAGAGGCAGGAAAGCAAGAAAAAAAAGCCCCACAAAAACTCAACACAAAAATCCAGAGAATTTTGCTAGTCTGATCAGGAGCATGAAGAGATGAAGAGTTTCAAGAAGTATATTGTCAGAGGATTTGTAAATTGTCCAATAATGAGTCTATTCCATACATCTGTAATAGGAAAACATTAAAGAAACAAGGCAATAATACCTCTTCAAGTCATCAAAATTCCTGGGTCAGGCAGTAAGATGAGGCTATCAGGATATTAAAATTGTGTGGGTATATTTCAGAAGGAATGGTACCAGCTCCTCCTTGTACCTCTGGCAGAATTCGGCTGTGAATCCATCTGGTCCTGGACTCTTTTTGGTTGGTAAGCTATTGATTATTGCCACAGTTTCAGATCCTGTTATTGGTCTATTCAGAGATTCAACTTCTTCCTGGTTTAGTCTTGGGAGAGTGTATGTGTCGAGGAATTTATCCATTTCTTCTAGATTTTCTAGTTTATTTGCGTAGAGGTGTTTGTAGTATTCTCTGATGGTAGTTTGTATTTCTGTGGGATCAGTGGTGATATCTCCTTTATCATTTTTATTGCGTCTATTTGATTCTTCTCTCTTTTTTTCTTTATTAGTCTTGCTAGCAGTCTATCAATTTTGTTGATCCTTTCAAAAAACCAGTTCCTGGATTCATTAATTTTTTGAAGGGTTTTTTGTGTCTCTATTTCCTTCAGTTCTGCTCTGATTTTAGTTATTTCTTGCCTTCTGCTAGCTTTTGAATGTGTTTGCTCTTGCTTTTCTAGTTCTTTTAATTGTGATGTTAGGGTGTCAATTTTGGATGTTTCCTGCTTTCTTTTGTGGGCATTTAGTGCTATAAATTTCCCTCTACACACTGCTTTGAATGTGTCCCAGAGATTCTGGTATGTTGTGCTTTTGTTCTCGTTGGTTTCAAACAACATCTTTATTTCTGCCTTCATTTCATTATGTAGCCAGTAGTCATTCAGGAGCAGGTTGTTCAGTTTCCATGTAGTTGAGCGGTTTTGAGTGAGTTTCTTAATCCTGAGTTCTAGTTTGATTGCACTGTGGTCTGAGAGACAGTTTGTTATAATTTCTGTTCTTTTACAATCAATAGAAAAAGACGGAATCCTTCCTAACTTATTTTATGAGGCCAGCATCATCCTGATACCAAAGCCAGGAAGAGACACAACCAAAAAAGAGAGTTTTAGACCAATATCCTTGATGAACATTGATGCAAAAATCCTCAGTAAAATACTGGCAAACCAAATCCGGCAGCACATCAAAAAGCTTATCCACCATGATCAAGTGGGCTTCATCCCTGGGATGCAAGGCTGGTTCAATATACACAAATCAATAAATGCAATCCAGCATATAAACAGAACCAAAGACAAAAACCACATGATTATCTCAATAGATGCAGAAAAGGCCTTTGACAAAATTCAACAGCCCTTCATGCTAAAAACTCTCAATAAATTAGGTAGTGATGGGACGTACCTCAAAATAATAAGAGCTATCTATGACAAACCCACAGCCAATATCATACTGAATGGGCAAAAACTGGAAGCATTCCCTTTGAAAACTGGCACAAGACAGGGATACCCTCTCTCACCACTCCTATTCAACATAGTGTTGGAAGTTCTGGCCAGGGCAATCAGAACAGGAGAAGGAAATAAAGGGTATTCAATTAGGAAAAGAGGAAGTCAAATTGTCCCTGTCTGCAGACGACATGATTGTATATCTAGAAAACCCCATTGTCTCAGCCCAAAGTCTCCTTAAGCTGATAAGCAACTTCAGCAAAGTCTCAGGATACAAAATCAATGTACAAAAATCACAAGAATTCTTATACACCAATAACAGACAAACAGAGAGCCCAATCATGAGTGAACTCCCATTCACAATTGCTTCAAAGAGAATAAAATATTAGGAATCCAACTTACAAGGGACGTGAAGGACCTCTTCAAGGAGAACTACAAACCACTGCTCAATGAAATAAAAGAGGATACAAACAAATGGAAGAACATTCCATGCTCATGGGTAGGAAGAATCAATATCATGAAAATGGCCATTCTGCCCAAGGTAATTTATAGATTCAATGCCATCCCCATCAAGCTACCAACGACTTTCTTCACAGAATTGGAAAAAACTACTTTAAAGTTCATATGGAACCAAAAAATAGCCCACATCACCAAGTCAATCCTAAGCCAAAAGAACAAAGCTGGAGGTATCACGCTACCTGACTTCAAACTATACTACAAGGCTACAGTAACCAAAACAGCATGGTACTGGTACCAAAACAGAGATATAGATCAATGGAACAGAACAGAGCCCTCAGAAATAACGTCGCATATCTACAACTATCTGATCTTTGACAAACCTGAGAAAAACAAGCAATGGGTAAAGGATTCCCTATTTAATAAATGGTGCTGGGAAAACTGGCTAGCCATATGTAGAAAGCTGAAACTGGATCCCTTCCTTACACCTTATACAAAAATTAATTCAAGATGGATTAAAGACTTAAACGTTAGACCTAAAACCATAAAAACCCTAGAAGAAAACCTAGGCATTACCATTGAGGACATAGGCATGGGCAAGGACTTCATGTCTAAAACACCAAAAGCAATGGCAACAAAAGACAAAATTGACAAATGGGATCTAATTAAACTAAAGAGCTTCTGCACAGCAAAAGAAACTACCATCACAGTGAACAGGCAACCTACAAAATGGGAGAAAATTTTCACAACCTACTCATCTGACAAAGGGCTAATATCCAGAATCTACAATGAACTCAAACAAATTTACAAGAAAAAAACAAACAACCCCATCAAAACGTGGGCAAAGGACATGAACAGACACTTCTCAAAAGAAGACATTTATGCAGCCAAAAAACACATGAAAAAATGTTCATCATCACTGGCCATCAGAGAAATGCAAATCAAAACCACAATGAGATACCATCTCACACCAGTTAGAATGGCAATCATTAAAAAGTCAGGAAACAACAGGTGCTGGAGAGGATGTGGAGAAATAGGAACACCTTTACACTGTTGGTGGGACAGTAAACTAGTTCAACCATTGTGGAAGTCAGTGTGGCGATTCCTCAGAGATCCAGAACTAGAAATACCATTTGACCTAGCCATCCCATTACTGGGTATATACCCAAATCATGCTGTTATAAAGACACATGCACACGTATGCTTACTGTGGCACTATTCACAATAGCAAAGACTTGGAACCAACCCAAATGTCCAACAATGATAGACTGGATTAAGAAAATGTGGTACATATACACCATGGAATACTATGCAGCCATAAAAAATGATGAGTTCACATCCTTTGTAGGGACATGGAGGAAATTGGAAATCATCATTCTCAGTAAACTACCGCAAGGACAAAAAACCAAACATTGTATGTTCTCACTCATAGATGGGAATTGAGCGATGAGAACACATGGACACAGGAAGGGGAACATCACACTCTGGGGACTGTTGAGGGGTAGGGGGAGGGGGGAGGGATAGCATTAGGAGATATACCTAATGCTAAATGACGATTTAATGGGTGCAGCACACCAGCATGGCACATGTATACATATGTAACTAACCTGCACATTGTGCACATGTACCCTAAAACTTAAAGTATAATAATAATAATAAAAAAATTGTGTGGGTATGAAGAGGAGTCTGTTTCTAGGTTTCTGGTTATCACAGAGATACTTCTTGAGCACTTGAGCTCTGACCCTGGTCTTTGTTTTCTCCCCTAGATGAAGAGTTATGAATTCTCACAGAAGATAGAATAAACCTTTTCCCCAAGCTATCTCATTCACTCTTTTCTGCATTAAAGAAATTCTCCAGCCTGTGGAGCCTCATTGGTAAGAATTCCCAGGCCTAAGGCAGGGATCTATGTTAGCAACAGCAGAAACCATAATTCTCATTTTGATATTTGCATCTGAAATCCCACTACACAATTTCTGCTTTAAGAACCTGGATGTCGAGCATGTTTAATGTGATCAGCTCATGCAGGTTAGGGAGGAAATTAGGAAGCTTAGCAAGGGGCTGAGAGCTATAAGTCTTCATTAGTTACTCACACCTACCCTGGGGTTACAACAATCTGTTATAAGAGTCTGTGAGTTAGAGCCACCTTTATCATCCTCCTCTTCTCTGAGGAGGCAATTGAGTCTCAGAGAAGTTAGGTAACTTCTACAAGGTCACATTACAAGAAAATGTCAAAGTGGTACCGAAAGCCATGTTCTTTCACCTCAAATCACATTCTTTGTCCACAATATTAAACTGGTTCATGGGACACCATGGAGGCATTAATATAAAAGACAGGACTGCAAATTTTTATAAAACCGATCCCTAGTGTACAATTTACTCAATAAATGTAGAGGCTGAAAATAAAACAGTTTGAGATTAACTCAAATTTGAGATCCTTGATGTGATTTGATGAGGTTTTTGTTAGCTGATGTGTTTTCTCAAACACATTATGTATTTATTTATTCAACAAGCACTATTGTGTGCTGGATTGTGTGTCAGCAGCTGAAGAATCAGGAATAAGAAAAACTCAGCTTTTAAGAAAGACATACCTTTCAACAACCACAGTATAACATAGGCTATAAAATCAGCAAAGGTTCAAAGTGAGTGCATGGAGGGGGTAAGCTATCTTTGCCTCAAATATTTGAGAAAAGGTTCACAGAAGGGATGCCATTTGGATTGGGAATTAGAAGATGAGGAGATATCCTCAGTTTGGAAGACAGAGGCTTCCAGGAGTTACTGAAGGAAGGCATAAATGGACACATGGCTGACAAAAACATTCCTCTGGGGAAGAATGGGCTGAAAAGTTAGTGCAGTTTTGAAGCTCTTGTACCATATTAAGGAGTCTAACCTTAATTTGTAAGCAGCAAGGCGATGGAAATCATCCACTTTTTCCTGTATTACATATTGCTTATTAATGAACCATGTACCTTACATCTAGACACACATATTTTAATGCTTTTCCCCAATGTCAATTCTACAGGTATGATGCCATCATTTTGAAACACCCTTCCACTTCTTTTTTCCCCTTATTCCATTTAATTTTGATAAAAGTTAAATCATGGACAACACTGAAAGTGGGCTAGAATAGAGAAATAATTGAAGCAGAGAGCCAATGTATTATATACTTCTGCAACTTTTCTCTAGAGAGAAATGGTTTTGGCTCAAATATAACACCAATAGTGGGGAGTGAGTGGAGGAAAGGCATCAGCAAGACTCTTCCAGACTAACAGGGTTTGTTGACCCCGTGTATGTGGGCTTTGAGAATGTGGAGTGTTATAGAAAGAGTGTAGTAGAGAATAGTTGCAGCTTCTAAAATTGGAAAACCGTAAGTGACAGCAATTAAAAGATGGCAATAATTAAAATGTATATTCTGGTATTAAAGTGTGAGGCAAAGATGC
Source organism: Homo sapiens (assembly GCF_000001405.40). Classification (NCBI taxonomy): domain Eukaryota; kingdom Metazoa; phylum Chordata; class Mammalia; order Primates; family Hominidae; genus Homo; species Homo sapiens. The sequence continues at coordinate 103,748,552 of NC_000009.12, read as the reverse complement.
ACCATAAAAATATATTTTTATTGTTATTGGTTAGCATCTTAGCACCCATTTTATGAATGTCTTCTTTCACAAGGTACATCAAAATAATCTTCTATTTATAAATTGAATATTGTGTTAATATTTATAACTTGAATTATGAAATTGCATGTTTATGTGCACTCTAATTGAGCAGCAAGTAGATCCAATATGTAATTAACTTAATGGATTTGGCTATTAAACGAGCCCACCATTAGTTAAAGAACAAAGGAAAAATTGATTACTTAATTCTGTGAGGAATTTTACTATAATAATATGAGACCAACTGAAATTGTCAGTTAGGTTTCCTATAAATGGATAATTTCACAACTGGAAAAATCAATAACTATATCATATTAATTATCTACGGAAACTATTCAGGAGAAGCATAATATTTTTACCTCATCTTTTAGTCTACATTACCCAGGAAATGAAACACCTTTGCTTTGATCTTGGGCCCACATTCTGTGCTTCCAAAGTCAACACTTGTAAACACTTGCAATTATATATCTCCAACAGATTGGTGAGGAGGACTAATGAAAAGTGTGTGGTGACTTTGTTAATCAGCAAAGCTTTTGGACGGATTTTATTACACGATTAAGCCAGATCCAGCATGGTAAAGCAGCATTCAGGTATAATAACAGCTCCATTGCTAATTAGCTTAAGAACTTTGTCAAGGCAAAAGCTATATGAATCTTAATACTCCACGTATAAATTATACATAATGATGCCCACCTTAACAACTATATAGAGGTTTTGGATGCCAGAGTCATCATATATGAAAGTAGGTGAAATTCGAAAACAATACAAGTATGAAGCTGTTACAATGAGAACAGTGAATTATAAGCTCAATATATTACAGCTATTGAGAGGAGTAATTGCAACTATGTTCTCACTTCTGCACCTTCCATTTTTCTTTTTCTAGTCTGGCTTCTGTCACTTGAGTCTGCATAGCTTCAAGCTTAATTTAGGTAAGAAAAAAAGTAGACTAATATCTATTCTCTCCTTACCCTTCTAGACCAAAGATGTAATCTTTTAAATACCTTGTAGTTGCTGAGAGAAATAATTATTGGGGATTATATTGTTTATCTTATATAGCAACTAAGTTTATAACAACAAAGTTCTATAAGTTGTTATATGGCAACCAAGTTAACACAAAAAGAAAATAATCAAAATAATAATAATAATAGTTGAGTATTTTCTCTGTGCCAGGAACTAAGTATTTTAAATTATTAGGTATTTTTTCCCTAAAACTCAAGTAATTATTAAAAAATATTCACTCTCCACACTGCCTTATTGGGTGGAGTTAATCTCTTTGTCTTTTGACTTGGAGTTTGGTCCTATGACTTGCTTTAACCAAGAGAATGTTAGCAGATATAATGCAACCAAAGGCTTGGAAGGTCCTAGCATGATTGAGGTTCTCCTCTCACAGTGGGAATAACTAGTCCAGACTAGACTGCTGGTCCTAGGAGGAGGACGATAAATATGTGGAACAGAGACATCAGAAACAAGCTGCCACCAACTGGGACTCATCAGATCATCCAAGCCCCAGTTGACCACAGAAATGTCAGCTAAATTAATGTTTCCTATATTGAACACCATTGAGATTTAATGGTTGTTTTTTATTAGTATTGACTGATACAGTAAGGCACTATTATTAGTTTCATTTAACAATTGAGGAAATTGGAACACCAAGAGTTAAGTAATTTGCACAAAATCACACTGAATGAAAGGAACAGAGTTAGAATTCGAACCTAATTATCCAGCTCCAGTACTCATAAAGACCAGGAAGTTAGTACATCATATTTGGATTCCATTTGTCTTACTCTGTATATACAAGCTTAAGAACTACAATAGCTTGGTTTATTGATTTAATTTGTTTCTCTATATTTTCAAAATCTTGTAATGATAAGAATTTTCCAAGGGGATGTTGACAACAAAGACTGATGTCGCAGGATTAGCAGAAAGCTTAAAGATATTAATATGCTTTAATATGTAATTAGTAATATAGTGTATTAATGCAAGTACTTCACATTATATTGTTAGTATTTTAACATTAAATGCCCATCAATAGCACACTCTTTGACTTAGTGTGGCTTTATACTTTTGTTCAGTCCAAGTCCATTTTCATCCATTTTCTAATTTGTCTGCACTATCTTTATGCATTATTCATCCATACAACCATTTCAACTAGTCAATACTCCCTTCACCTACCCCTCTAAACAAGGAAAATAAAGATTTTATTCTAATTTCCTTATAGTTTTAAGTTAATTTGGGAAAGTCTTAATTATATTAGACTTTCCCATCCAGGAAGGCAATTTTCTTCATTTACTCGTTTTACATCCTTAAAGTTTTATGCTTTTCTTCAATAAAGATTCAGTGTATATTTATAGCATTTGTTAGGTTTTTGACCTTCATTTGAGGGTCTCATTCATTGTGTTATGTCAGTTTTCACATCTGGTGTACAGAAAAGCAACTGATGTCTCTATATTTGACTTACAACTTATCTCCCTCCCATTTTGCCTGGAATAGTACCATTTGACACTTGTGGTTCTGATATAATTATTATAGCAGCTCTTTTCATTTCTAAAAAAATAATGGTTTGGATAATACGTTAGTCACCCTACTTGTAATTATCATATTACTTATAGTTTAGTTCCTTGATTTTCTATTAAATAACATTTTACATGTATCATATAATTACCTTTATCTTTAGCTATAACATATAATTTATCTTTAGCTATAACATATAATTACCTTTATCATAGCTCACCTCTATTTCTTTTTGGTCTTACTAGGTTGGGTCTGTTACTCAATTATTTTTTGTTGTTAATTTTTATTTTACATTTATTAAGCCCATTTTTATCCTTCCCCCCCAGACTGCGCCTTAATTTTTAAAATTTATAAAATGTAACGCTTATTTAATTTAGTTTTGTTTTTCCATGTTTGATTATAAAAACATCCAATGCTCTGAATGTTTTTGATTTCAGCTTTGACTGCATCTCCTACGTTTTGAAAGTTGTACAATCTCACTAAAAATAAATTAAAAAGCAAATTAAAACAGAGATAGTTATTTCTTATCTAACAGACTGGAAAGTATTAAACGGATGAAAAAGGGATAGTATGGAGTAATTATCATTTGTAATCAAATATAATAAAATTTGGAAATACATATTAAAAGCTTATAACCTGAGTTGTTATTGTTGTTGTTTTTTGAGATAGAGTCTTGCTCTGTCACCCAGGCTGGAGTGAAGTGGCATGATCTCAGCTTAGTGCAACCTCTGTCCCGAGTTCAAGTGAATTTCCGGCCTCAGCCTCCTGAGTAGCTGGGACTACGGACATGCACTATCACACCTGGATAGTTTTGGTATTTTTTAAGTAGAGATGAGGTTTTGGCTTGTTTGCCAGCCTGGTCTCTTGACCTCAAGTGTTCTGCCCGCCTTAGCCTCCCAAAGCACCTGAGTTTTTTAAAAGAAAATAGAGAAGTATCCAAGAAATGTGAAATATGTCCTAGTCTTACATATTTTATAATTGCTTTCTGCTGCCTTCTCAAATAAAAATATATAATCACATATATATGTTCTATATGTCATAATTTGCTGGAATTCTACCCCAAAGAAGATTCTAAATACTATTTATGATGCTGCTCTGGAGCATTGAGTATATTTTTGATTCTGAAAGTAGTTGCAGAAAAAACTGTTATTTAGAAGTTTGGCCAGAAGTATGTCAGCTCCACCAAATCATCACCTTTGTTTCATAGTCAGGATTATTCACATTTCCAACTAGAACACCGATTTTGTAGCTGAGTCCAAAGACAAAACATTGGTGTGAAGCAAAATGACCTTTAATCTTTTTCCTGGCAATCTCTGTTTTTAAGAAGTGGAGAACTTGTTGTCGTGATGTGAAACCAGGAATGGTTTTAATTGCACAGTTTCCTTGTGAGTGTGTTTCTTTCAGAAGTTTTTGTTTGTTTTTTCTTTTCTTTTTTTTTTTTTTTTTTTTTTTTTACTTTTTTTTTTGTTTTGTTTTAAACAAAGGCAGAAACTAAGGCTCAGGGATTGCAAGTGACTTGAGAAAGTAAACAATGTTTAAAAATGGAAAGTTTAGTTCAATATATCTCTACTTTGTATTGAAACTAAGGCCTGTTTAAAAGAGTAGAAAGTTTTTAGTTTTGTTTTCTTGACTTTAAACTTTTATTGTTTCAAGGTAAGAAAACACATACTACTGAAGTTAGCAGAGGCAACTTCAGGGGTAGCTGAATAGACAGACATCCTATGGTAAGCTGGAGGTCTGAAGTTCTCTTTGAGCTATGCCATCATTTTAGTATTGTAATAGTCTTGTTATAACTATGTGTCCTGTCTTTAGTGATTAATAAATACTTATTTTAAATCTGAATTCAGAAATGTCACAATAGTTTTCAAAAACGCCAAATAGTGTCCAAAACACCATTGTACCCTTCCCTCCCTTTAATTTCTTTGATAGATTTAGAGGTTAAAAAAAACTTTATGAAATAGTAAGTCATTTTCCTTTTTTTGAGATGGAGTCTCTCTCTGTCACCCAGGCTATGGAGTGCAGTGGCACGATCTCGGCTCACTGAAACCTCCACCTCCCTGTTTCAAGCAATTCCTCTGCCTTAGCCTCCCAAGTAGCTGGGATTACAAGTGCACGCCACCACATCCAGCTAATTTTTTTGTATTTTTTAGTAGAGACAGGGTTCCACCATGTTGGCCAGACTGGGCGTGAACTCCTGACCTCAGGCAATCCACCCGTCTCGGCCTCCCAAAGTGCTGGGATTACAGGTGTGAGCCACCATGCCCAGCCATTTTCCTCTTTTCATAGATAAAAAAGTGTAAAATAGCTTGTCATTGGACAAACAATAAGCTATTATAATGCAGTACTAAAATCTGGGCACCTATTCACTTAGTCCAACTTCTCATTAAGTCACATGATTTTTATTTGTTCACATAAATTATACTAGGGGCTAACTCGACTCAGAGGTTGAGAAGTAAATTGTAAAAAAGCAAGAAGTTTGGAAATACAAGAAGGAAATATAGGTGATGAGCATCTATTACAAGTTACACATCATGAGAATATATTAAATGTATTCTCATCTGATGCTAATCACCCCCTTGTGGGCCATAACATTTTCCCAATCAAACCTCAAGAAAAATGCTTCACATTCAATCAGTCGTTCAAGCTCATACAGCTAGTAAATTCAGGCCTTAGTTTCCATAAAATGTGGAGGCATATTGACCTTCACTTTCCATTTTCAGACATTGTTCACTTTCTCAAGTCCATTGTAATCCCTGAGCCTTAGTTTTCGATTTTTTTAAAAAACAAAACAAAACAGGAAAAAAAGAAAAAGATTATTACCTGTCTCATAAGATTGTTGTGAGGGTGAAATTGGAGAATGAATGTGCAAGTGCTTTTAAAATGATATTGTGTTATACAAACGTTAGATATTATTTATATCCTCTTAAAGTAGTCATCATCACCAGGTTTTACCATCACATTTAGCACTGAAAGGCAGTCAAGCATTACAGAGTTCTGTTCTGACAAGGGACAGATAACAGGAGGCTAAAACGAATTCTCCCTAATCCCCAGCCACTCATCCACAGTTGCTGTGAATTCATAATACTCCTCCGAATTTTCCACTGTAGTTCGCTAACATCAAAAGTCTGATGAACGAGTGAAGCTATTCAGCCCCAAGCAGCATTTATCCGCAGAGGTTCATATCTTTTAGCTTACAAAGTTGTAAAAACAACCTGCCAAGATGAAAGACGTAAAATACTGCCTTACGTTTATTTAAAGTAGGTTATCTGATTCTGCAGAAGTACTGATTTTGTTCATCCATACTGATAGAACACCTAGTAGCCATCATTAAGTGTGAAAGTGGGGAGTTTGCCAACTCAGGATAGGAGTTCCAGGCAGTATGCCTTTACTCAAGGGAAAAGGCTTTAAATGTAAGCATGTTGTTTTGACTGTTTTGTTGACTTCATTTAGTTTGCCATCTTAGTTTTCATATATATCTATGTGCTATAATAGTTATTTTTCAAGAATAGAAATCTTTATATTTCGCAGACACATTTAAACATGTCTTTGAGGAAAATTCTATTGAATAAGGGAACTTTTTTGGGATAAAAAGAAGTCTCACATGCTCTAAAATTTGTTTAAAATAATTTACAAGATGAAGAAAAAGAATTTTTAAATACTATTAAAAATATGTATTTCTAATTCGGCAAATCCTAGCCAGGATATTTTATGAAGCTATTAATGAATTCTACTCCTGATTGATGGATAAGAAAACTGAGGCTAAGACAGATTAGTTGTTTTCATAACGTCACACAGCTATAAATTATCAGAGTCAGGATTCAAAATATATGTTTAGAGAAGAGAGGAAAGAATTTCACATTTACCATTATTTTATGTTACCAGAGAATCTTCATTTAAATAAATTCATTGGGAATTTATTTAATTCCATATTACTAAACTCCCAGATAATACATTTTTATTTTTTATATCATGACCACTCAAATCTACAATTTTAGCACTTGGAAGAAAGTGGACTAAAGATGAATTTGATGTTTATTCTATCTTTTCCTTGGTAGCTCAGTGTCATTGTCTTGAAGGTGAGCAGGCAGCAGTTTGATGATGCCTTTAGAATTACATGGGAAATGGAGGGTTGTTTGCCCCTACGGAAAAGTCTGCTTGAGTTATTTTCCATTTTTCTGTTATGAGTTTTCAGTGTATACTTTCCCATATTTCTATTTAGAAAATAACATGCCTCCCACTTTCATCATCAATCCCGGTTTTTCTACTTTGCTATTTAATTGTTTTCAAAGTAAGGGCAATATGCTTATAGTTGAAGATCTGCGGGTTTTCCTGGGATTACAATTCATAGGATTTAATGCAAACCAAAAATATGGAAAAGATACACATAGAGAATCAGCAAATTCTTCATACCATAAATATTGTGAAAGAAATTCTTAATTTTGGACAAGTAACATTTCACAATATTTATGATATGAATGATTTGCTGAATCTCTGTTTATTTTTTCCATATTTTTGTCTTTTTACTCATATACAGAGCATTTTTTATGATTTTTATACTAAACATAGGATTTCAATACAAAGATGTACAAAACTGAAATATTAGAAAACTGGGGTTCAAAGGTATCTCTTTGAACAATTTAAAAAAAAAGTGTTTTAAAGAGAAGGGAAAAGGCCCTATAGTGGCTGATAATTTTGGCTGTGTTGTCACCCAAATCTCATCATGAATTGTAGCTCCCATAATTCCCACGTGTTATGGGAGGGACCCAGTAAGAGATAACTGAATCATGGCAGTGGTTTCCTCCATAGTGTTCTCGTGGTAGTGAATAAGTGTCATGAGATCTGATGGTTTTATAAGTGGCTTCCGCTTTCACTTGGCTCTCATTCTCTCTTGTCTGCCGACATGTAAGATGTGCCTCTTGCCTTCTGCCCTGATTGTGAGGCTTCCCCGGCCACGTGAAACTGTGAGTCCATTAAACCTCTTTTTCTTTATAAACTACCCAATCTCAGATATGTCTTTATCAGCAGCGTGAAAACAGACTAATATAGTGGCCATGAGCATAAGGGTTAATTGTTTTTCCTCAAGGGAAAAGGGAAAAGGGTTCCTGGGACTCTCTTCCCTCTGCATTTAGTGCCTTTGATGTAAACAGGTATCAGTGAAGATCAGCCAATACCTTTGAAAACAACAGAAAGATCACAGGGTTTGAGGAGGGGAGGGATGTGCTTGTCATCAGGATAGAAATGAGAGATAATGTATAGCTTGTTTCTTCATTTGAACCTAAATTGGGCCTAGAAAAAAATTTTTAAAAATGGACAGAGATGAGACTGGTGGCAAATTCTTATGTCTGCACAGGAAAAGTTCTCGATTTTTAAGGGTACCAGGTGAAGAATGGAGTCTCTTACATCTTTTAAAGGGCACACAAAATGTTCTGTATTCCGTAACACAGAGGGGGCAGTGGGAGGATGCCCTATTTGCTCATTGTTTCACTTTCCTCCAGAAACAATGACCCTGAATTGCCAAAGAATCAAGTGGATGTTTGGGAGGCAGGGGGCTCCTTTGAGTGATGTAGCCACATGTATGATAGTTTCCACTATTGCTCACTCCTCTTCTCACCCTCTCCTTCCAAGTTTCGTCTGGTTAGCTCTCAATTTGCATATTTTATAACGCAGAGGTATTACTCCCTCTTTACTGTCTTGGTGCTGGAGACTGCATCTACCTAAGGAAGCTTTTAAAAACATTTTCTTCTCAAAAGAAGACATTTATGCAGCCAAAAAACACATGAAGAAATGCTCATCATCACTGGCCATCAGAGAAATGCAAATCAAAACCACTATGAGATATCATCTCACACCAGTTAGAATGGCAATCATTAAAAAGTCAGGAAACAACAGGTGCTGGAGAGGATGTGGAGAAATAGGAACACTTTTACACTGTTGGTGGGACTGTAAACTAGTTCAACCATTGTGGAAGTCAGTGTGGCGATTCCTCAGGGATCTAGAACTAGAAATACCATTTGACCCAGCCATCCCATTACTGGGTATATACCCAAAGGGCTATAAATCATGCTGCTATAAAGACACATGCACACGTATGTTTATTGCGGCACTATTCACAATAGCAAAGACTTGGAACCAACCCAAATGTCCAACAATGATAGACTGGATTAAGAAAATGTGGCACATATACACCATGGAATACTATGCAGCCCTAAAAAATGATGAGTTCATATCCTTTGTAGGGACATGGATGAAATTGGAAACCATCATTCTCAGTAAACTATCGCAAGAACAAAAAACCAAACACCGCATATTCTCACTCATAGGTGGGAATTGAACAATGAGATCACATGGACACAGGAAGGGGAATATCACACTCTGGGGACTGTGGTGGGGTCGGGGGAGGGGGGAGGGATAGCATTGGGAGATATACCTAATGCTAGATGACACATTAGTGGGTGCAGCGCACCAGCATGGCACATGTATACATATGTAACTAACCTGCACAATGTGCACATGTACCCTAAAACTTAGAGTATAATAAAAAAAAAAAAAAAAAGAAAAGTTTTCAGGTGCATGCCTGAGAAAGCCTAAAAAAAATAAAAATAAAAAAAATAAAAATTAAAAAAAAAACATTTTCTTATAAGATGAGTTACAATATTGGTTGTGATTATCAATGACTAGAAAGTGATACAATTTTTTATTTACATTTAAAGAAAAAAAACTAACACATGAGAAAGTGCTTGATCACAGGGAAATTCTCAGAAGTGTTAGAAACAGGGGGCCATCTAGAAATACTTCACAATAATAATTATTTCAGCAAAGTCATAAACAGTTTAATGAACTGTGTTGCTACATACTCAAACCTAATTTCTCATACACTTTTTTTACTTTTTAATTTTGAAAACTTCCAAGCATACTGAAGTAAATAGTACAATGACCATCACCTAGCTTTAGAATCCATCAGTGTCTTTCTATACATATTTTACCTATTCTTTTTGCTATTTTACTTATGCTGCAGTATTTCATAATACTTCATAAATTATTCAATCCGCATCTCAAAAAAGGCAGTTTACAAACCCACTGTGCCTTATCACATCTAAATAATTACAAAACTGGTAACATTTAATATCCAATATATATTTCAAGTTCTCTGGTTATTTGAATATATTTCTTTCTTATAAGATTAGGATCAGCTCAAGGTCCATATTTTCAAACATGTTTTTATTTTATACACGTAAACTTTTAATTATTTCATAGTCTTGAAGTAAATCTACTGAAAGCAAAATTCAAATACAGCAGAAGAATAATGCTGTGCATCTCAGGAAAAGAGCCAGTTTGAAGAGTGGGCAGTAAGAAAAAGGAGTTATATCTCAGAAAGCACAGCAACTGCAAAATGCAATGATTAAAGCAGTGAGCACTGCCTTAGAACCTGTGCAGATTTCATTGTTGGCTGCTTTTCAAACTTAGATCTTATTCTTAATTCTTTTAGCTCATTTTAACTCTTGGGTTACTGTTTTCATCTTTTTCTATGGTCACGTTTTCTACTTGTGTTCATCGCCTCTTGAAATATCATTTATTTTAAAGTAAGTGTTATCATTTCAAAGGGAATATTTGTTTGATATTACTAGGATCTTTGATAACTAAACTGCTTTGGTAATATCTGGATTCCTCAACCTCCCTTTAGTGATTTTCTTTGTTCTTTTCTCTTTACTCTGAACTTGGAACTTATAAAAGAGTTTTCCCAAATGTTTCCAGTTGTCTTCAGAGTTCCACTCAATCTACAATCTCCTTTTGGGGTGAATTCTCATTGTTATTAATGCTGCTATTAATGCTCATGATTTTGGGGTAGTATTGATCATGTTCACCCATATTCTAGGTTTGCAGGATTACTTTGTCACCAAATTCTCTTTGAGATGTTCACACATTTGTCCAGATTTTTATTTCACTATTTTAGTTTTTCCATAATTTTTAAGAAGGATTTTAGGGAGATAGAGTGATTGTCATGTTCATGCCACTGGAAGAAATCTCATTACGCAATTGATAAAAATTGCTCACACTTGAGAACACTGAATTGTTATCTCTGGTCTTAGTGATAACACATGATAAAACAAAAATCCTGCAGTCCTCATTCTGTGTGTTTGTGAGTAAGCATAGCCAGAAATCCCTGGAGAATATAATACCTATAAATATTAATGTTTGTTTCTAAGTAAAAGTTGTAGTTATTCTAAAAATGTTAATATCACAATATAACTCGATGTAGTAACATTGAGCTTCAGGGATGTCATCTTTCCAAAGGAATGACTAAATCACTTTGTTACATCCCTTCATGTGCAGAAGAAGCAGAATAGAAATTGGGAACATCTCTTGGGATGTCAGCATGATCTCTGCTAGTCCTGTTGGTGTTCATGTGAGTCTAGTGAGGACATGATGAATGGTTTCCCATCATCACAGAAATTAGAAGAGATAATGAGTTAATGTAAAGATGTGAGAACAGGGGCCAAATTTAATCAAACAAATGTACTATTACACTACCTACAGATTATAACCAGCTATCAAGGTACTATCACCAATCCCTTTCCCTGGCTACTTGTAAGCAAGTGCAGAAGCCTATGAGTCTGATAAGATTGAAATAAGGGATCAGCCATATTTACACATTACCAAAGATAACTTATGGGTGTTTTGCCCCAGTTTGCTAGTTTGCTACTTAGCCTAGTTTGTTTTTCTTTCTTTCTTTTTTTTTTTTAAGATGGCGTCTCACTCTATCACCCAGGCTGGAGTGCAATGGCATGATCTTGGCTCACTGCAACCTCCATCTCCCAGGTTCAAGTGATTCTCCCACCTCAGCCTCCCAAGTAGCTGGGATTACAGGCACCCACGACCACGCCTGGCTAATTTTTGTATTTTTTAAGTAGAGATGAGGTTTAACCATGTTGGCCAGGATGGTCTTGAACTCCTGACCTCGGGTAATTCACCTGCCTTGGCCTCCCTTTAATTCTTTTTGGACTGTTAACTTAAAAATCCTAGGGTCCAGGCATGGTAATGCATACCTACAATCCCAGCTACTCATAAGGCTGAGGAGGGAGGATCACTTGAGCCCAGAATTTCAAGACCAGACTGGGCAGCATAGTGAGATTCCATCTCTATTTTTTTTTAAAAAAAGGACTCTTAGGACAATGGTATAACTGACAGAATCCAAATGATAAGCTGGTCTGTGCATCTGATGAGTTACATCGTTATGGTTGGGTTTTGTTAGTTTAGAATGTTCTCAGACAATGCTGAGGCAGCATGAGGAATGTTCAACAATTAGGTTTCACTCAACTTTCTGGTCTTCCTCAGTAGCACACAAAGTCATTGGCTGGTAGAGAAAAAAGCTGGAAATAGGTGGGTCTTATCATGCCTGAAAAGCCATTAAAAAGGACTTCTTCAACAGTAAACCCACTTTACCCCACTGATTTCTTCCGACATCCTATGTGCATTTTCCTCTTTCATAAGCAACAAGTAGCCCCTACTTTAAAAAATATATACTCAATACTTTTTAAGTTAGCAGTATATTTAGCTTATGCATATCTTTAGGTTACTTTCCTTGAACAGTTTTAAATATCTGAGCAACTACTGGCATTGGCATAAACACCTACCACTATCCACATGCTGATCCACTGATTTTTGTTATTTAATATTTGGATCATATAAATTGTTAAGATCACTGTGGGTCTCAATTGGTAACTATGAATTTAAATGCTTTACAATTTTTGCTGAGAATCGTGTGTGGAGTTTTAACATCTTAATGTACACCCTTGATCAATAGGCACCTATGTCGTGTATGCAAAAATGTAACCCTCAATTCTGAAATGCCAATTGCGCCATGATCATTCTACTTAGTACACATGCATGGTCTTTTATGAGGGTGTTCTTGGGGGAGAATGAAGAGTGTGGAGCTGGATACTTTTACAGAAAAATTATAATGTAAAGATGAATAAATAACACAAGCAACACACAGGTTCTGTACAATACCATTACTTGCCTATTATGGTGTGAGTCATCTCCCATTTGTCAACCCAAATCTTTCATCGACGTTTTTATGTGGAGCCTCAGTGTCTATTCAGTGGACTTCTATGGATTGTACCAGGATAAAGAGATTCTCCAAATTTTCACCATTGAAAATTAAGGCACGATGTTTTTTTCAGACTAAAAATTATATCAGAAAACAAGTGTATTCCACAACCATCAGAAGACAGCATCCAATAGAAATCTAAGACAGACAGAAAAATGTCTCACTCATCCAATGGACCAGGGTACTCCATAGAGCCATTGCTGCTCACATACTAGGATGTGCTTTAAGCCTGTGGTTTCACAACACCACTACCAGATCTTATATCTAGGATCAAAGTGAGTTAACTGAAGGCTCAAGTGGGGAGCATGAAGTGTTACCCAGCACAAACCCCTTATTCTATACATAATGAATGCTAAAGTTATCCAATTATTGCTCTCTATATGGTTATTAGAATAGTGAAAGAGAATTTATATAGAAAACATAGATATATTCCTGGGAGAAGAGGGTCAAGGAAGAAAAGAGCAAGAGCATTAAATCATTCCTAGGGTCAAGTAATTAACATATAGTTAATTTTCAAAAAAGGTCAGTTTCAGGTTTTCATACTAACAAAGAGAAAGTAAGAGATACAAATATAGCAGAAGAAAAATAAGATTTTACAGGAAGTACTTAACCAGATGCATGGAAATTACTTAGCTGGTAAACATAAAGACATGAGGTGGTATCAAAGATTAAATTACAGCACTGTAGTGCCAAACAATTGATAAGTCTAACAATAGTGGCAAGTGATGGACCCAAATACCATTTTATTCAGCTAGTAACTGCTACATTTTCTTTCTGAGAAGGAGGTCACACTCAGAATTGTGAAATTACAGTAGCTAATTGAATTTACTACTGCTTAATTAAATGCTTAAAGTAAAATTTTCAATCAGGTATGGAAACTGTAATTGCTGAATTTGATTTGGAATGCTAACATCAGTTGTGGGTATGGGGTTCTTATATCCTCAGCAACTGCAGAGGGATAGTGGCATCTACATGCATTGATTACCTTTTCATGAGATCTATAGCATTCAGGATAAGAGGCATCTCTACCTGCATTCACTAAACATTTTTTGAGCATCCTAACTGCTAGGTACTGTGGTAAGCAGTGAAGAACTGAGATAAACAGATCACATTTTAGTGAGGAGGACTCACTGGAGTCCTGAACTTAAAATACTATTTAAAATACCGAACTTATGTAAACAGTTTGCTGAACCTACAAGCCAGCATATAGACATATGCTGTCATCCTGTTGATTTTGGCTCAACTTCCTGGCCTGTGAAGATAATTTCAAACTCTGATTTTGTCATCTGCTATGTTAGCTTCTGTCTCTCTTCTTTCTTTTTATTTATAAAATTGATACTTCACTTATATTATTGTCATAAATTTGTTTGCTGCCTCAGCATTCATTTTTAGGCTGGAAATAAGTTGTCTGAAACCCAGTTGTATCTCCTCACCTTAACTTTCTCTCCCATGTGGTTATTTGCAATATAGCCAATGTTTTTCTCATCCCAGTGACCCTAATCACAACAAATCCCACAGCTGCTGAACGTAATAAAAACTACTGGTCAACACCAGAGTCATGTAAATAAGTCCCCTACCTCAAGGATGTTTTCTTTAAACTAGCCAACCCGTAGCCCCCCCAGGAAAGCCTAAGAAACAAGGCTCATGGCCCTTATTAAAGGCATGATCCTAGAGATACTTACTCTCCTATTCATCACCAGCTAGTTGAGCTCCATGTTGCCTTCATACTTCCCATCGGCCTTCCCTCTGGCACCCCTAATCTCTCTGAGAATGCTGAGCGATAAATTTATTTTGTGTTACGCATTTTGATTTCACCTCCTCCTTGTGTCTCACTTGACCCACACACTCGAACCTAACTTGCTCCCCCACTCCTCATCCTATCAGAGCTCTCCTAGAGTGTGGCTATCATGGCTTATGGCCACTGTCAACAGATACCTCGAGACCAAATTAGAAAGAAACTGTAAAGATAGAAACCATAAAAATGATCATTGAAGTAAATAATAAAGTTGAACTGCATAGTTTTGTGACTTTAGAATCAGGCAAAATTTCTTCTCCTCAAATTATAATCCGTGAGGTGTGGAGAAACTTTACCAAACTGCCTTTATCTTAAGTCTGTTCAAGTATAAATTAGCAAAGATAGTCTTTATCTCTGAGGGTTTATGTGACAATTAAACTGATGCTTCATTAGTGTATGCAAAATGCCTGGCACATTATTGGGACTAACTAAATAACTAACCATGGCAGAGTGTCAGAATCATTCTTTCTGACTATTCTTTATCTCTCATTCAAACATCTATTAAAATGACACTAGATTTCCAGTGTTACACCAGACACATTAAGATACATTTTTGAATTTATAATTAATGATGAGAAGTAAATAAGGAAAGAATCAAGTTAAAGCAATTGCAGCATCAAGGAAGACATAGCATCAATCCATGTCATCCATATTTTTCTATATTATTCACAAATATGGTAGCATACACTTTTCAAAAAACAGAGAACTAGCTTCATTGTCTGAAAGTAAAGTTCAAATTTCATATGATAAAGATGAAGGCCCATTATAGTAAAATTTAAATCTTTCAAATCTAACTTTAATTCACTTCCCTAGTTATCTTCTATGTATTCTCTTCTCCAGTCAAATCAAGATCTCACCATTACACACATATTTTATGTTCTTTCTTGCTGTCACAATTTTGCACATACTCATTTTTTCCTCTATGTCTGCAAATTTCTTGTTCTCTTTGCCTGGCAAATTCATATTTCGAGAATGAATTTAAACGCATCCACTTTCATGAAGTCTGTCTGATTTCCTTAGGCAGAGGGAGACTTTTCCTCTTCTAGATTCCTAAAACATGTCAATTTGCCAATAATTCAATAATTAGGAAAAATATCAATCTTAATAAGAATATTTTCTAATAACAGTACCCCCACAAGCAAAATATTTAATTTAATCATTTTCTATTGTTATATAACTATATTTTGCTTCTTAAAATTTTTTTCTCAGATATATTTCCTCAAGTAATTTTAAAATCAATGACAAAACTTGAATTACTGGGTCATTTATTATTT
Source organism: Homo sapiens (assembly GCF_000001405.40). Lineage (NCBI taxonomy): Eukaryota > Metazoa > Chordata > Mammalia > Primates > Hominidae > Homo > Homo sapiens. The sequence goes on along the minus strand of NC_000009.12, from coordinate 103,732,807 downwards.
GTATCTACTTTCTTTGACACTGTTAGTTTGACTGATATTTAAAAATATAGAAGCATCTCAAACTTTAAAGAGATCTACTTGAGAATCAGAGGGTATTTATGTAATATAAATACTCATCACGTTTCTTTTTATCTTAGTCTTCAGTTTGTTTTTTGATACATAAAGCATGTTTAATTTAAGAAGACACCCATCTGTGTGATATCTTCCAAAAAGCTGATGTATTTTGCTAATTTTTAGACTTTTATTTCTTTAAACAAGAGAGGTTTTATATTTGTGGCACAAATAATATGCTTTCCCTCTAAAGCAAATGTCTTAAAATTTACATCTTTACATGAATGCCAGATGTCTAAATTTTCATCTTGAAAAAATCATATCCAAAGCTGCTTCCATTACTCAAATACTTTTTTGACTTTTTTTTGTTTGGAACAGTCTTGAAGACTCACTCACAAAAATCATTATTTTACCTGTATCTCCCTTTTTTCCTCCTAAGTAATTCATCACTTTGCTGATAACTTGCATTGTTAATCAGATTATATTCTAATTTCCCAAAGTTTAAATATACCTTCCAATTGTGAATGTTTAAAAAATGTGAAGTACTTTTAAAAGGGGACTTAAATAATCTTTAATAAGTTTCTAGGAAGACTTTTTAAAAGATAATAGAACTCATCTTTATTCATTAATTGTGTGTCTATCCAGAAAATCTACTTTATTGTTTTGATGCTCTGTATTTGTATGGCATTTTACAATTTAAAAATAACTTTTAAATTGTTATTATAACATATGTAACATATAGATGTTATAATAACATCTGTTATAATAACAATTTAAAAGTTATTTTTAAATTGTAACATCTATATGTTACATATGTTATAATATGTATATATGTATATAACATCTATATACGTGTTGATTCAACCTACACATCAGCCTTGTAATGTGTGCAGGCAGTTTTAACATCTTTATCTGATGGATAATTGCATGGCCCTTAAAGTTATTGTGGTCAGCCTGTCATGAAAAGGACAGTATGTGGTGAAACTGAAACTAGTACTCGGGACTGCATTCCTAGTCTATTGTTAATTCTCATACTGTCTCCAAGTTTTTATGATTTCTTATCTGAAAATGCCTTCAGAACTGTGAATTAACTGACTTAGTAGCAGGCTTTGTAAATGTCTGTACTTTATAGTGAGTTCTTATGCCTTTAGAGAAATACAATAGACTTCATTTTCTAGTACTTTATAAATTTTTCCACTAAGCTGTGTATTATCTATGATAATGAGCTCTCACGTTATATTGCATGTACCAATGCTTTGGTAAACTTACTGTACTCTGGGGTTTTAAGCACCTCAAATAGCCTTCTGAATAATTAATTATTGAGCTAACTGCTTGTGGTCCAACAAGGACATATCTTTCCAAGTCTTACAATAAATTTTTTTACCTAAGGATAAATATAAAAGATTAAAGAGCAAATCCCTTATTGTTTCATGATTCTTAAAGAACTTTAGCAACTGAAAAGGCATCGTTTCTACAAAATGAGTTAAGATGATTGATTTATTAAGTTCCTTGCCGTTTTTATGTATGTAACATATTGAATATCTTTAAATAAGGTACTCCAGGGAAACTCCTAGTTAGGATGCTTAGGAAAGTTTAAAATCTCTAAGGCTGCTTTAGAAAGTTCCTTGTTATGCCAGATGGTTTTCCAGAATTCTGAGATTATTATAGGATTCCCAGGAGCCTGTGAGGCAGATCAGAAATCTAAGTAGAATCTGGATCCCTTCCGCCACTCTCCGTGTGTACTTTTGACTTTCAGAAACTTGATTTGGTTCATTAGCAAACACCTACTTTATGCTTAACTATTTACCAGACACTTGGTAGGGTTGGCAACAAAAAGGTGATTAATACAAGGCCCTTACATTTAAGTATCTTATTATCTAATAGGAGAAATAGGCAAGTAAACAACGAAACTAAGTCTGGTAAGTAGGAGAGAAACATGTGCAAGATACATGAGTGACAAAATGAGACTGGCAAAACTATACAAGAAACAGCTTCAACATCAACCCCCTTTACCTCGCTTTTTCACCTGGAGCAATTTGGGGATGAGAATCACATTTATTCCACAAAGTGCTTCAGTGACTTAAAAGTACCACATCTAAATACCAGTATGGTGAGATTTCCTTGGGATTTAACTTGTTGTCCTGGTGTTTCAGATGCTGAAGATAAACAGAGAACCTCATCTAATATGATGCTGCTAAACCCTCTACTTTAGAATTGGATACTGGATATTTTTTTCCTTTTGTTAATGAAATAATGTAAAGCCAAATCGTTAGTGTATTCTTTGTGTAGTATTATTAAATGTTTTCTTTAAATTACAACATAAGGTATAGTACATTGATACCAAAAAACTTACTGAGCATTAAGTTAGGAATACAGATGCCATGTTAAGTATTTCGAGTAGAGCAAGATATTTAAAAGAGAGAATTAGTTTGTGCAACATTTAAAATGGCTACAAAAGCAGAGATCAAGAAAGTCACTACTGAGAACATCAGCTTATTTTAGCACAATAAGTAAGGAATTATCAGGAAAATTCCTGGAAACCCAGAGAAACTGCAATTGGTTTTCAGAATCTTCCTGAGAACCCTTTAGAAAATGAAATTCCAAGATAATTAGATCAAGTTTTCTCCCTTGCCTTGAGGTAAGTGTTGTATGGGGTTTACATTGAATTAAAAGTAGACCCTGTCATGTACCTGCGAAGATTACCCCAAACATTTATCTATAAATTGGATTACCAGTTTGATTTTTATTACATTTATCATGGTTTCCATGTTTACATTGTAATTTCAAACTGAATACATATGGAAGAATGGGCAAGAATTACCATATAAATGGCAAGACACTTAATAGCCACTTAAAAACTTGAGTTTTATGTGAGAAAGCAACAGTATATAAAATGGTTCAGAGAAACAACAAAGATGATATTAGACCTAGATTTCAGCTCCATCTTTACCATTTATTAGCTGCATATTTTTGAGCAAGATATTTAAACATATTAATTCTTAGTTTTCACATCTAAAAATAATGGAATAATATTCTTTGAAATGCTTGGGCAGGTTAAAATAAATGATGCAGAGAGAATACTTAGCAGAAAACCTTCCATATAGTGAGCACTCAGTAAATAACAGACATTATCATTGGTTATTATCATCACAATCATCACCATTATCATATTTGTTGAATAAAACATAATTTTTTATTACCTATCCTGGAGCTTAGTCTGAAAATATGCTAAATTTAAAATAAAACGACAACTTTGGGGGAGATTCGTGCACATTTGCGGCTTATAATTTAGGAGAGTGGGAGTGTGGGGATGTTAAGTTGAATATTAGCCAAATAAAGAGGTATATATGCATGTGCATGTGTGTGTTAATGTTTCAAAGGCTGCAATAACAACAAGAAAAGAATGTTTGAAGCTCAGAGATGTGTGAGAAGAAGATATTCTGGGGAAACTGAAAACAGTTCAGTTTAGCTGAAATTTAAAGTTTGGTAGAGTACAGTGTGTTAGGTTTCTGCAGATAAATAGACATTTATTTATTTATTTATAAGTATTGGCTCATTTGATTATAAAGGCTAATCCCACAATCTGCAAGCTGTAGACCCAGGAGAGCTGATGATATAAATTCCAGTCTGAGTGCAGGAGAAGACCAATGTCCCAGCTCAAAAAGGGTCAGGGAGGGAGAATACATTATCTCTCACCCTGCCTTTTGTTCTGTGTAGGCCTCCAAGGGATTAGATTCCCCACTCACATTAGGGAGAACAATTTGCTTCACTCAGTTTACCGAATCAAATTTTAATCTCATTCAGAAATTCCCGTGCAGACAAGTTTAACCAAATATACGGGCATCCTGTGGCCCAGTAAAGTTGACATATAAAATTAATGATCACATTTAGGGCATGAGGAATAACAAAGATGTAACAATACACACAATTTATTAATTGTGAATCAAGCTGAAGAGTTTAGCTTTTATCTTAAAGGCAAACATGAGCCAATAAAGAATTGTTTGGCAGTTTAGTGACAATATTAGATGTGTTTTAAGAAAGTTCCATCTGTTTAGTGTATGGAAAATGAATTACAGCAGAGGAAGACTTGAATCAGAGAAACAAAAATAGAGACAATTATGCTAATCTAGACAAGAAATGATGAGGGCTTGAACTAAAGCAGTGGTGGTGGGGGTGGAAGGGAGAGGATAGATGAACTATATTTTAGAGAGGCTGGGATAGAAGCAGGAGCAGTATTCCAAAAAAAATAAACAAACAGGAGTCAAGGGTGACACCATGTTTCTACCTTGAGTTAGTTGTACTATCTATATATTCAGAGAGGGAACAGGAGGGTGATGGAGTAAAGCTCAGATCAGAAAAAGCTTAGCTTGATGTGTTATTGGGATATTATGGTGGAGGTATCTGGTAGATACATGGACACTGCAGCTTAGAAGACAGATCTACACTGGAGATTTAGAATTATAAGTAATCCACTTATAGGATGGTCATGGAATAAGTACTTTCTGAAAAATATTTAAATAAAAAAATAAAAGGGCCATGAATGGATAAAAAGGAAGAGTGGGAAGGGGGCAGGGTGGGGGCTGGGAGAGGGACTGCAAGAATGTGAACCCTGGTTTTAAAGAACAAAAGATGAGGGCAAAATAATATAAGGGCTTCTGCTTACCATCTCTGAAAGGAATCATACTAATCTGTTGTCATGCTGCTAATAAAGACACACCTGAGACTGGGTAATTTATAAGGAAAGAGTTTAATTGACTCACAGTTCCACATGGCTGGAGAGGCCTCACAATCATGGCAGAAGGCAAATAAAGAGAAAAGTTATGTCTTACATGGTGGCAGACAAGAGAGGGTGTGCAGGGGAACTGCTCTTTATAAAACCATCAGATTTCATGAGTCTTATTCACTATCATGAGAACAGCACAGGAAAGACCCACCCCCTTGATTCAATTACCTCACACTGGGTCCCTCCCACAACACGTGGGAATTATGGGAGCTACAATTCAAAATGAGATTTGGGTGGGGACACAGCCAAACCATATCAAGAATAAAAATCAAAGTTCAAGGATTCTGAGCGATAGGTCTTATATAATTCTCAAAATGTTGCTTTATCATTTTTCTTGGCTGATTTTCCCAATCCATTTCACCACTCTGCTCATCAATAAAACCCTAAAATGAATACATTTTTGTAATTATTTTCAGGTCACAAAGTAAGAAGATGCTGGGAGACAGGAGCATTTCGCTCTGGAAGCAGTTTTGGTTAAGAACAGGGTCAAAAGATAAGGTAGGGAGGGTAAATGAAATGAAGAGAAGGAAGCAGTCTGAGTTTATACTCCAAAGGAGAAAGAAGAACATTGCTGTCAAAACCAACACATTCCCAAGAGGATAATTTTCATGTCTAAGAGAAAGACTTAAGAAACCCTATAGATTTCCTTCTAGTTACTATATGGTAAGAAAGAAAGTGAATGAAGAAACCTCAGTTATGAAAACCGAGGGGACATTTGGTGGGAACGTACCTGGAATAACAGTTTTAGAAACCAGATTGTAATGAAATAAGTACAGCAGGGTGAGAAACCCCTAGGACTCTACTTTCTAATGTATCTGTCCCTAATGGAAAACATGGGCTTCTGGCAATTGAATTAAAGAGGTAAAAGATTCAGGCAATCCCATAGCAGCTGATTTCTGATATTTATCACTGAAACCACCTTCCTTTATATTTTATGGATATCTCTTCATCAGGTAAGAAAATCATATTGTTCCCAGTTGTGGAAACTGTCCTTCAGCTTAACCTGATAAACTTTGCCCAGAATAAACTCTCATTGACTTCAGTTTAGAAATTAGAAGCTGTTATAAAATCTATGATCTCCCTTCAGGACAACACTTAAAGTATCAGAGTGGGATATTTTCATACAGTACTCTTAGTCCACAATAAGTCCTTTATCACTCACGGTACCAAAGACATTTTACTAATGTTCCAACATGGCAGTTTTCTTTTTCTTCTGAAGTAACTTCATTGAGATTGTTGGCTAATTTGAGTAGAAACTTCTTTTTCACCAATATATTCTTAGAATGAGTGGAATATTTTGTTTTATCTCTGTTTGAATACAAGTGAAACATTCAGGTTTGACAAACATGCTATTACTCCATTGTTTGGCTAGGGAATAAAACCCCCAGTTGGTTTTATGGAAAGGTTCCATGATGACTTCTGTTCACCTCCGATCCTTTCAGTGCTGCCTGGAAACATAGCCAGGTAAGAACACACTGATGTTTATGAGCCTAGATGAAAGAGTTCTGTGGTGGGGGTTTCCAGTGAATCAATAATCATCATCTATTTTCAGTGAAGCACATAACATAATGTATAAATGTGTAGTATTTTCAGGCAAAGAATGAGGATTAGAAGGCTTATACACCTCCCAGCAGCAATAATAACTAATATTGATGACTACTGAGAGCACGAGAGTCTTCTTTAAATCCGAATTAAATAAAGTGGAGAGCAGGTCATACCAGACACAGAGAAACTGACAAAGACTCACTCTTTGACCAACCTCTAATCAGGATCCTCTGAACTCTCTTCTTAACTAGGCCCTGAGTTTTGGGCTTAGGTGTTTGTCTCTGCCTTGCTCAATTTTAGCAAGAATTCCACTAAGCCGATTTAGCCAGAATACCCCATCCTTGATATCTGATCAATCCCTGAACCTGATTAAATTCCTTATCCCCATCATCCCCTAGGTCATGCCTGATCACGCTGATCGGTCTTCAGCAAGAATCTTGTTATTTTAGCCAGAATCTCTCCTTACCTTGATGTTTCCTCTTAGTAATTTCCATCCACTGACCCTCACCCTACTTCTTAGCTATAAATTCCCACTATTCCTTGTTGTATTCAGAGTTTAGCCTGATTTCTCTTTTCTACCACAAAAACCCATGGTAGTCCTCCTCACTCTTGAAAAAAAGTCTTCCCTACTTTCTTTAACAAGTGTCATGAATAATTTTTTCTTTAACAGTTATGGTGCTACAACTTGAATAGCATCAGAATGGACCCACAGAACCTGTCACTCGGGACCTTAAGTGTACATTCTCACTGAAGCCTTCGTCTTCTTGTGATCAATTGATTAGGGATCCATTGAGTGAGTCAGATTCCTGAACCATAGCTCTGGATAAACATCTGATGGAACTGGGAAGGTCAGATTTTAATTCTTAAGATTCTCAGTATACTCTCTGAAGCTGGGTTGGAGGCCTGGTTTTCTTTGTTTGAAAGTATCTTCTGATCTGGAAATTCATCCTTTCTGAAACCTCATTTAAAATTGGAATGATCCATTCCCTGACTTCTGGGATGGAGAATTTTTTAGAATATAGAATAGAGAGGCTGTTTCTGAGTCCTCTCTATTTTCTCTCTTTGATCCTGCCTCTACTATGGAAACTTCTTGGTAAAATAACTGCCCCCCTGCCCACAAACTCCTGCTGACTATGTACTCTGCCAATCTGCTCACTTTCTTGTTGGCATAATTTTGCTCTTGATAATTTGGTATTTCAATGGCCTCTTTGAGAAACCTAAGATCTTGCCAAATTGGCTCCTCTGAAACCTCTCCCTTATCATCACCTCCTCTCCTCCCTCCTCCTCTTACCACCTTCTCTCTTCTTTTCAGTTTCCTTGATACCTCTGACATGTCCCACTTCAAGTCCCTACTCCTCAAACTTCTGTCCACACCTGTTAGGCTTTTCCTTTCCTAAGCTTCCTCCAGTCACTTGAACATTAGGTCCCTTGACCTCATCAGAAACTCTCAAGAGGCTCAGGGTATCCTCAAAGGCAGCTACCTGAGGCTGAAAAGGAAAAAGGCTAATTATAAATGAACCGGGTATTTTGTGAACTCAGATGGGCTTTGAAGACCTCTAGACAGTTGTTTTTTGTCTCTTCAATAGCCTATAGCATCTATATGAATATGTATCTGGGCAAAAGAAAATCTTAAAAGCCTTCTCCATGGATATCAGTTTAAAAAGATAAACAGGCTTTATCCATTATTGAGTAGGTAAACTTGTCCCATTTTTTGTCAGAAATGTAATTCATATACATATAAAATTCATACAATTCATATAAAATGTAAGGTATAGATAAACAAGTGTCACTTGATTCATGGATAAAATTTTAGAATACAAGCTATCTCTGTTTGCACTCATCTGTATGTATCTGTATGTATGTTATGTACACGTGATACTTTTCCTACCTCTGGATGATGTTTTCAAATTATAAAATCACTTAATGGAGTTCTATTCAAATTGGCTTAGAGATGAACACTTACATAAAAATTTCTTAAACTCTCAGAAATACAGGAATAAACTAGGTGTTTTCCAAATGTGCATGGGTTGAGTATAACTTTGGTAAGTAGGATTAATTTCATATTGTTGTTTAAAAAATAGCTATGTCTTCTGAGTTATTAGAACTAAGTATAATACAAGCATGCATTTATAGTCTATTTGGGTTTACTAGACAAATAAGGTTAAAAAAGGAAAATAACTTGAGACAATGGTTAGCATTGTTTGGTGCTATAGTATGTCTGCCTGAAAACAGTTTTCAAAACCATTTTTAGTTTTCAGGAACCTTAGTTATGCTAGGCTAAGCAAAGTAATAGACATTGGTTAATAATTTCTAAGTAAGATAAACTATGGAAACATTCACTAGTAAGCACCAGTTTAAGTTTATAGACTTTGGGCATCTTATTTTTATATGATATAGAGACACAAAATTCATTTGAGTCTGTTACTACACGTTCTTTTTGCCACATTGAAATATTGCATACAAAGTAGAAGGTACTTATAAAATTGTGAAATGACATATTCATAAAATTTTCTAGCCTGCTACAGAACACTGGTATGTGAGAGATAATTCAAAATGGTCTCCTTCCTAGTTTTTTCTGTAAAAGTTAGTGATGGTTAAGAAATTTAATCAACGCCGGGCGCGGTGGCTCACGCCTGTAATCCCAGCACTTTGGGAGGCCGAGGCGGGCGGATCACGAGGTCAGGAGATCGAGACCATCCTGGCTAACACGGTGAAACCCCGTCTCTACTAAAAATACAAAAAATTAGCCGGGCAAGGTGGCGGGCGCCTGTAGTCCTAGCTACTCGGGAGGCTGAGGCAGGAGAATGGCGTGAACCCCAGGGGGCGGAGCCTGCAGTGAGCCGAGATTGCGCCACTGCACTCCAGCCTGGGCGACAGCGAGACTCCGTCTCAAAAAAAAAAAAAAAAAAAAAAAAAAAGAAATTTAATCAACATATTTAATTAAAGCTATTAGAAATAATAAGGGTGAAAATAAACTTTGCAGGAAAAGTATGAGGTTTGAAGAATGTGCTTTTGTTCAAGAAAAAAAAAGTAATTTTACATGAAAGTAGAACCCAGTAGAACCTAAAGTAGAACCAGAACAAGAAAGAGGAAAATGTAGTAAACAAACACACACAAACAAAATCACCTGGATGGATATAAGAAAGTTGTAAAAAATTTACAGAAAAGAGATCTCAAGTAGTCAAGCTAGCTAAGATTTGGATTTATGTCTTTTTTTCTGAATGAGTCTTGACATCAAAAGTATACTAATGCAAAACCCGGATTTGTTTTTCTCTTTGTTAAAATGAAAATGTTTTCTTTGATTATTGGTCTCTTAATAAGAGACTGTAAAAGGGTTTTTCCATTTTTAGTAACTTGCTTAGGAAACCAAGATTCTGTGTCTTATTAGAATAATTTCCTGTGCTTTATGTTAACCTTTATCATGTCCTTAGTTGAGAAGGCTGAGACTTCATACTTTTTAAAGCAGTAAAGTTTTTTGAAAATATTTTTGAATATATTGCCTTCCTAAAATCAAATCTTAAATGAAATCCTCTTGTTCTTGAACGGACTTTGAAATTTCCCATAGGTCTTCAGTGGATTTATTCTTTCACTTTTCAGAAAAATGTTAAAAACGATTCACTTTATTTGATACGTTAAATTGCATAAAAGGCATCGGCAAATGAGAAAAGATGTTTAATCTTCCCTATGTTCATTTGTATGGATAAGCACTATTAAAATAAGTATTTCAGAAATTGTCTGAAGTTTAGGGAAATTTGTCAGCACTCTTGTTGTTAAGATACATTCAATATCATGCTATCAGTCACAAATCTGGTTATTACTTTAAGATATTATATTTCACAGAAACAACCACATTTTCTTGTTAAATAAACTCTATAAAATTTTAAGCCATGGCCATTTTAAGACTTTTTTGGCATTCACAAATAGTTTTTGTTTTATTTATTCTGACGCTTTCCAAAAGTGCTTGCAGTCAAAAAGGAAATGTTTATTTTTTTCTTCCCATCTTATCCCTCCAAAATTTAGAAACTGTTTTTGAATATTTTTATTTTCATGGCAATATAGTTAGTTGCATAAGCACAATAAGAACATATTCTCCTTATAGCAGGACATAATTGGAAACACTGATTATATAACGAAGGCTTTTGACAGGAATGTCACATTTGAGAATGAGAATGTGCATAGAATCTGATTTAAGGAACTAAAGTTGACTTTATGGAGCCAAAATATACAAAGTTCTCTTGGAAAACCAGACTAATAACTGGCTTATAGGGTTCTCAGCCTTACAGATGAGTAATGAAGGTCACTTCCTGGCAAGACAAGGATACTCAGAATGTCTTGAGGACCTTGAGAAGGGAGGAATTTATCCAGATCTATAGGTACTGCAAGTGAAATCTGGTGATAAGTTCTTGGCTTGGCTTCTTAAATTTAAGTGGTTTCTAAAAGGCTAATGTGAGATTCTTTATGAAAATTTCTAGCAAAGCAAATTCAGAAGGCCTATGTGGGCAATTACCATTCTTATCATCCTTATGTCAATAATTAGGCTACATCTAATGAGATCAGACTTATTTGTAAATAAAAAGAATCTTACTTTGGTTATAGTTGATCAAAAAGGAGGGACACCAGACAGAGAATTTTTCCCCCAGCAGAAACTATACCATACCACTGTGAAGTCTCAATTCTTCTAGTTTCCTCCAATATCTGGCTACGACTCTTCAAACTAACACTTCCAATTTTTTTTCCTACCGTCCTGATTTGGCAACCCTGAGAACTAAAATTTCCTTTTTCCTTAAGCCTTGAAAGTTGAAGCTGATTGACTTGAAATGAAATAAACTCCATAGAAATCATCATGATAGATCATAGATGGGCAACCTTGGTGCCTGTTGCTGTGTGGACCATTTAAAAAGTTCACTGGAACCTCCAATGGCATCACCAAGGACATTCGAACTACAAACCAGGAAATTCAGTGGGTTACCTCTTCCATCCTCACTCCACCATCTAAAGAGGCTTCCAGCCCATCACCTATCAATAGAAATCTAGACTGGCTTCCCTCTGGCCTCAGAAACTGCGTTTCTAAGTATTAATCTTTTTTTTTTTTAAATTTTCATAGAAACTTTCCTCATTAAATGCCTGACTGCTCATGCCATCCAGCAAGTACCTTTATTACCAATTCCTATCAGATGATTCATCTACTTCTTAATAAACTGGAGGTGACTGAATGAAAAAATGGGCTTATATTCTTCACAGAAAAGAAAAATATATATTCTTTCTTTGAATAAGATGGAGGGACTAACAAAGATTCGCTCCTTGACCAAATTTGAATCAGTCTTTTTCTGAAGTCTCTTCTCAAGCAGATCCTGACATCTGGGCCCCCATGTTCATTTCTACACTGACCAATTTTAGCAAGAATCCTGCTAAGTCAGTTTAGTTAAAATCCTGAATCCTATTGGTAAGTGACCACCTTCAATATCTAATCAGATTCCTCACCTCACCTTATCCCCTAGGTGATGTCTGTCACTCTGGCCTAGCTTCAGTAAGAATATTATTTGGTCAATTTAGCCAGAATCCTTACCCCTGACGTTTCCCCTGAGTAACCCTGAGTAATTTTTCTTCCAACGACTTCAGCTCTACTCTTTGGCTATAAATTCCTACTTTTCCTTGTTGTATTCTGTGTTGACCCTGATCTCTTCTCTACTACTAAACTTCACTGTAGTAGTCCCCTTGAATAAAATCTTTCTTATCTCTTTAACAAATGTCATAAATATTAGGTTGGTGCAAAAGTCATTGCAGTTTTGGCCATCACTTTCAATGGAAAAAACTGCAATTGCTTTTGCACCAATCTAAATTTTAATTAACAAAATATTCCTTTCTGCTGAAGCCCTCTGTGGAAGAGAGAGCATACTTGTTCTGTGTGTCTCTGGAGAACACAGTCACAACAAATGAGTTGAAGTTAGTAAGAAGAAAGATTGTGAATCTCTCTCTCTCTCTCTCTCTCTCTCTCTCTGTGTGTGTGTGTATGTGTATCTGTATTTATATCTGTTCTTATATCTGTATATAAGAACTTCCTGATCATTTCAAGGGTATAAAAAGTAAACTTGTGAAATAATAGTCTCCTTCATCCCTGGGAAGTTCAAAGAGAGGCTACTAGTCAGGAATACTGCAGACAGTATTTCTTTATTAGGTGGATGGCTGGGTTGGACATATTAAAAATAAATACATAAGTAAACCCCCAAAGTCCCACATGTTGGATTCCAGTTTCCACGGTTCAATTAGAGTCAGTGCAGACCAATGGAAAAGATTATTAGATTTTGAGTCAAAAGAGCTGTCATCAGTTCCTAGCTCTGTTATTAATTAGGAATGCGACTTTGAATAAGTCATGTACTCTCACTGGGCTTCATTTCTTTCATCTGTAAAATGATGGCAATGATATCTGTCCACCAGGAAGTGCAGGTAAAATTAGAGAACATGTGAAACACCTAGGACATAGTCCGTACAGAATGGATCTTCCCATTAAATCTACAGGTGTAGTTTCTGGGACAGTTATCACCCAGGCAGTATTCTAAACTAGAAGGAGAGAGAGAGGATAGGAAGTATAAAAAGCACAGATATCCAGGGAGCATAATTGGCAGTAAATACTGCTCTACACTACCACATGGCCTTTCTGTTTCAAATCCTACTTATGCCAGGATAAAATTGTCAAAATCACGACAAGCAGATTACTTGTACTTTCAGTTCAAATATCAGTTACCAAACTAACCAACAGACAATAGAAATGCATCAAGCATGCAGTTCACAAAGATTTGCTGAGTGCCTAGTAGGAGCCAGATGCTGCATCCCATTCTTCTAATTTGGGGGTGTGGGGAAACAGCTATGGCCCAGAGGTAATGTATAGAATAACAAATTAAGATTTTAAAAGTATATTTCAAAAATAAACAGCCTTTCTTGAAATATATAATTAATCTTATTCTTGCTTTCAACATCTTCTTGGTAAAGATCATTGCAGCAAGGGAAGCATCATGCCTAATTACTTTAAAATTATCTTTTTATAGGAAGTACATTAATATGTATTATACTGCTACTGTCCTCAAAGTGAAAATAAAAGTTTTACCTGCTTCTTTTCTTTTAATAAGACTTACTTTTTACAGATTCTTTTTTTTCCCTTAAATTTACACAAATAATTTGGGCAGAATTTTAGCCAAACAAATTTTAAAACACCCCATAAACTTTATAAAATGAATCAGGGAAGAAGCGATGGGGAAAAATGGAAATAAACCAAACTTGCAGCGCATTCAGCATGAATCATGAAGTCAGCTCACTCTGACCTGCTTCCTCATAGTTGTGTGGTACCTGTTATCCCAGCATCATGTAGCCCCTCTACTTCTCCTTAACTGCTCTATAGACAACAACTTGAAAATTATGAAACATTAAGTTTTCCCTTTGATATATTTTTTCAGGTCCTGCATACTGATGGAATTACTACACCAGCTTGTCTGTAAGACCCCAGTGGTGCCAGCTGGTCTGAAGGATACCACTGACTCAGCTGATCTGAGGGTCCCCACGAGAAGTGGACTCACTAAAGAATGCAGTTTCTATATCGTGATGATATCACCCTCCTTGCCCTGACCAATCAACAACCCCAATTTTCCAATCCTTCACCCTCAATGATCCCCTTAAAAATCCCAGCCAAGAACTCCTCGAGGAGATGGGTTTGAGGATGTCCTCCCATCTCCTTGCTTGGCGCCCTGCAAAAATTAAACTCTGTCTCTGCTGCATCCCTGCTGTCTGTGTCAGTGGTCTGTTACTGTGCAGTGGACACATGAACCTGTTGGTCGTATAACAAGTAGATGTGTCCTCAGCAATTTGTTAAGAAACATTCTTAAATAAAATAAAAAAAAATCAGATTTTTAAATACATGGATGAAATACACCACATTGTTAACAAAACTATTTTTACAACTTTTTAAATTGAAAACTGGCACAAGACAGGGATACCCTCTCTCACCACTCCTATTCAACATAGTGTTGGAAGTTCTGGCCAGGGCAATTAGGCAGGAGAAGGAAATAAAGGGTATTCAATTAGGAAAAGAGGAAGTCAAATTGTCCCTCTTTGCAGATGACATGATTGTATATCGAGAAAACCCCATTGTCTCAGCCCAAAATCTCCTTAAGCTGATAAGCAACTTCAGCAAAGTCTCAGGATACAAAATCAATGTACAAAAATCACAAGAATTCTTATACACCAATAACAGACAAACAGAGAGCCCAATCATGAGTGAACTCCCATTCACAATTGCTTCAAAGAGAATAAAATACTTAGGAATCCAACTTACAAGGGACGTGAAGGACTTCTTCAAGGAGAACTACAAAGCACTACTCAATGAAATAAAAGAGGATACAAACAAATGGAAGACCATTCCATGCTCATGGGTAGGAAGAATCAATATCGTGGAAATGGCCATTCTGCCCAAGGTAATTTATAGATTCAATGCCATCCCCATCAAGCTACCAATGACTTTCTTCACAGAATTGGAAAAAACTACTTTAAAGTTCATATGGAACCAAAAAAGAGCCCGCATCACCAAGTCAATCCTAAGCCAAAAGAACAAAGCTGGAGGCATCACACTACCTGACTTCAAACTATACTACAAGGCTACAGTAACCAAAACAGCATGGTACTGGTACCAAAACAGAGATATAGTCAATGGAACAGAACAGAGCCCTCAGAAATAACGCCGCGTATCTACAACTATCTGATCTTTGACAAACCTGAGAAAAACAAGCAATGGGGAAAGGATTCCCTATTTAATAAATGGTGCTGGGAAAACTGGCTAGCCATATGTAGAAAGCTGAAACTGAATCCCTTCCTTACACCTTATACAAAAATTAATTCAAGATGGATTAAAGACTTACATGTTAGACCTAAAACCATAAAAACCCTAGAAGAAAACCTAGGCATTACCATTCAGGACATAGGCATGGGCAAGGACTTCATGTCTAAAACACCAAAAGCAATGGCAATAAAAGACAAAATTGACAAATGGGATCTAATTAAACTAAAGAGCTTCTGCACAGCAAAAGAAACTACCATCAGAGTGAACAGGCATCCTACAAAATGGGAGAAGATTTTCACAACCTACTCATCTGATAAAGGGCTAATATCCAGAATCTACAATGAACTCAAACAAATTTACAAGAAAAAAACAAACAACCCCATCAAAAAGTGGGCAAAGGACATGAACAGACACTTCTCAAAAGAAGACATTTATGCAGCCAAAAGACACATGAAAAAATGCTCATCATCACTGGCCATCAGAGAAATGTAAATCAAAACCACAATGAGATACCATCTCACACCAGTTAGAATGGCAATCATTAAAAAGTCAGGAAACAACAGGTGCTGGAGAGGATGTGGAGAAATAGGAACACTTTTACACTGTTGGTGGGACTGTAAACTAGTTCAACCATTGTGGAAGTCAGTGTGGCCATTCCTGAGGGATCTAGAACTAGAAATATCATTTGACCCAGCCATCCCATTACTGGGTATATACCCAAAGGACTATAAATCATGCTGCTGTAAAAACACATGCACACGTATGTTTATTGCGGCACTATTCACAATAGCAAAGACTTGGAACCAACCCAAATGTCCAACAACGATAGACTGGATTAAGAAAATGTGGCACATATACACCATGGAATACTATGCAGCCATAAAAAATGATGAGTTCATGTCCTTTGTAGGGACATGGATGAAATTGGAAATCATCATTCTCAGTAAACTATCGCAAGAACAAAAAACCAAACACCGCATATTCTCACTCATACGTGGGAATTGAACAATGAGATCACATGGACACAGGAAGGGGAACATCACACTCTGGGGACTGTTGTGGGGTGGAGGGAGGGGGGAGGGATAGCATTAGGAGATATGCCTAATGCTAAATGACGAGTTAATGGGTGCAGCACACCAGCATGGCACATGTATACATATGTAACAAACCTGCATATTGTGCACATGTACCCTAAAACTTAAAGTATAATAATAATAAAATAAAAATAAATAAATAAATAAATAAATAAATAAATTGAATGTTGTATCATTTGGGGTTTAGGCAGGAAACAGAGACCACAAATTAATTTGAACAGAACATTTTATGTAAAGAATGAGCCTGGCCAACATAGTGAAACCCCATCTTTACTAAAAATACAAAAAATTAGCTGGGCGTGGTGGCAGGCACCTGTAATCCCAGCTACTCGGGAGGCTGAGGCAGGAGAATCGCTTGAAACTGGGAGGCGGAGGTTGTGGTGAGCTGAGATCGCACCATTGCCCTCCAGCCTGGGCAACAAGAGTGAAACTTTGCCTCAAAAAATAATAATAAAAAAAGAATTATTAATCAATTATCTCAGCACTAACTCACGATTAACTAGTAAGTGTTAAAGATAGTTCTAAAAATCATAGGAAAAGCAGATATGGGGAGCCAACTTATACTTAGGGCTGATGCAGAGTACCCAAGTGTGAAAGGAAAATATCTTGGGCCCCCAAATCACTATGCTAAAAGGAAAATTCTAGTTGAGAACTCAAAGCCATCTTTCTGCTCACTGAAATAAATGCATATCTGATTGCCTTCTTTGCAAAGGCTAATCAGAAGCTCAAAAGAATGCAACCATTTTTCTCTCACCTACCTGTGACCTGGAAGTCCCCTCCCCTTGGACCTTTCTGGACCAAACCAATGTTCATTTTACACATATTGATTGATGTCTTATGTCTCCCTAAAATGTATAAAACCAAGCTGTGCTCTGACCACCTTGGGCACATGTCTTCAGGACCTCCTGAGGCTGTGTCACGAGTATGTGTTCTCAACCTTGGCAAAATTAACTGTCTGAATTAATTGACACCTGTTTCAAATTTTCAGGGTTCACACAAGGAAGAAAAAAATTTAGAAGATACACTCCCTACTCTAAGGTAGGGATCCAGATGTCATTGGAGAAGGAGTGACTGTAGCCTACTGGATAGTTGAGTATTATGTGGAGGCACCACAGGCTGAGGCTGGTAAGCAGGAGACTGCCCATTGGAGTGCTGACAAAACTTTCCAGGAGGCTGCCTTCTAGGGCACTGAAAGTCACTAGCAAGCTGCCACTAGGGCAACTCTGAGACAGCTGGGAAGCCAGCTGTGGTGCTGGTGGAGCTTGCTGGAAATCCTACTGTGGAATTTGCACTAAATTTCCTGGGAAACTGGCTGTGGTATTTGTGGAATTTGTTGAGAAAGCTACCTGCTGAAATTAGACTGACCTCCCTAAAAAGCCCCCTAGGATGCTGACAGATCTATGGGGTTTCAGGGCAACTCACAGAGAGGTAAACATCACCAGGTGCCCTGCATAGAGATCAGCACTGCAGCAGTAAGAAAAGAGGAATACAGCGAAACCAGAAAGAGAAGCCCCTTCCTCTGTAGTGTCCCTCCAGCATCCTCTACCAACAATTACAGTTTAACATCACACCAGCTGGCAAAAGACCTATGTTTACAGGATGTGGATCCAGTATCACAAAGCAGGCAATAAAGGATGGATTTGTCGCTAAGAGGCAATTTGTTGATAACTGACATAAAGAACACTAATAGCTTTCATTGGTGGAAATCTGGGTTGGTTGCAATGAATTATACAAATTAAAAGCAGTCTGCAGTCTTCCACCGTAGTTGAACTAATTTACATTCCTACCAACGGCGTAAAACCATTTCTTTTTCTCCATAACCTTACCAGCATCTGTTATGTTTTGACTTTTTAATAATAGCCATTCTGACTGGTGGGAGATGGTATCTCATTTGGTTTTGATTTGCATTTGTCTAATGACCAGTGATCTTGAGCTTTTCATATGGTAGTTGGCTGCATTTATGTCTTCTTTTGAGAAGTGTCTTGTTCATGTCCTTTGCCCACTTTTTAATGGAGTTGTTGGTTTTTGTTTTTGTTTTGTAAGTTCCTTATAGATGCTGGATATTAGACCTTTGCCAGATACATAGTTTGCAAAAATTTTCTCCCATTTTGTTGGTTGTCTGTGTACTCTATTGATAGTTTCATTTGCTGTGTAGAAGCTCCTTAATTAGATCCCATTTGTCAATTTTGCTTTGTTGTAATTGCTTTTGGCATCTTTGTCATGAAATCATTGCCTGTGTGTACGTCCTGAATAGTACTGCCTACAATAAAGTATAACAGCTCAAATTCAGGGGTATCACTGACCTAACAACTCACATACTCTATGTTATCTATGGTTACATAATAAATCACCCCAAAATTTAGGAGCTTAGAACAACACACATTATTCTCTTGCAGTTTCTGTAGGTCTAGACTCTGGGAATGGCTTAATGAGTCTTCTGCTTCAGGGTCTTTTATAAGACTGCAACTGATGTATAGTTAAGACCATGGTTTTCTTTGAAGGTTTGAATGTTTCCAAAATTATGCGCATGGTTCTTGATAAATTGATATTCTCAAGGATATGTGGATTGAGAGCTTTACTTTCTTACTGGCTATTGGCTGACATCCACTCTTAGCTCCTTGCCACATGAGCCTCTCCATAGGGTAGCTCAAAACATGGCATTTTGTTTCATCACAGCGAGTGCATGAGATGAGTCAGAAAGAATGCCATAAGATAAAAGTCACAGCCTTTTGTAGTCTAATTTTGGAATTGCTATTGCCATATTCTACTTGTTAGGAGAAAGTCACTAGGTCTCGTCCACACACAAGGGAGGAATAGCACAAAGGCATAAGGAAATGAAGATCTTTGTAAGTCATCTCAAAAGCTGTCTACCACAAAGAATCTTATGAGGACTGAATAAAATAATGGCTATGAAAATACTTAACATAGAAAGTGTTTTTTTGTAATGATTAGGGTTATTAGTCCACAAGGTATAGTTTTGTTTTTAATTTCTAATTTGAATTTCTGTTCTAGTAAATTAACTGGTTCTCTCATTGCATTTTATAACTGGAAGTTGACTTGGCACTAGTTAGTTACACTCTGGGAATTAGAAAGAACCATGCCAAATCCCTGAACACCAGGCACTAAGGTTGATGTAATTATTTCCAGGGTCAGGCATTGCAGGTTTATACTGCCTGGACATAGAAAATTGATTCCACATTATTTTCTCATTTATTTGTTTTGTCACTGGCTCAGTCTTAGAGCCACACTTTTGCTGAACACCTTGTCTGTTAAGCCAATTCCTTTGGCCAGCCTTCTGAGAAAGTATGACATTTGACACAGGGCTTACTTTTCTCTGTTTACAGTATGTGCGTGTGTGAGCTGGGGGTAATGGTGGGGGCTGGGGGGAGGCTTTATGCCATGCCATATTGCTAGCCTATTCTTTTTTTGTGTGATTTTAGAAAACTTTTATGGAACGTGTAACACACATGCAGAAAAATACACATATCTTAACTTAATACCATAGTCTTAACTAGTGTTCTAAAATTATACCATCATGACTTGTGGAAAAGTGGATAACCATAGCATTTCCAATGTTTCAGAGAAATATAGGATGATTCAGTGAAAAAAAAATATATATATATAATATATATACACACACACACACATATATGTATAATACATATATACACACAGACATGCATTACATATATGTGTGTATATATATTATATATGTAATACACACATGCACACATATACAAATATGGTATGGAGACAAGAGTAAACATGGGCATTTAAGAAAAATAATCAGAAAGTCCTAGCCAGAGTGATCAGGCAAGATAAAGAAATAAACGGCATCCAAATAGGAAAAGAAGTCAAATTATTTATCTTGCTGACAATAAGGTTCCATACCTAAAAAACCCTAAATACTCTGCCAAAATGCTCCTAGACCTCATAAACACTACAGTAAAGTTTCAGGCTACAAAATCAATGTACAAAAATCAGTAGTATTTCTATACACCAATAACTTTCTAGCTGAGAGCCAAATCAAGAATACAATCTTGTTTACAATAGCCACAAAAAATACAATGCCTAGGAATATATCTAACCAAGGAGATGAAAAATATTTACAAGGAGCACTACAGAACACTGCTGAAATACATCAGACATGACACAAACAAATGGAAAAACATTTCATGCTCATGGATTGGTACGATCAATATCATTAAAATTGTCATGTCGCTCAAAGCAATTTACAGATTCAACACAATTCCTGTCAAATTACCAGTGTTATTTTTCATAGAATTAGAAAAAACTAATCTAGAATTCATATAGAGCAAAAAAAAAAAAATCCAAATCACCAAAGCAATCCTAAGCAAAAAGAACAAAGTTGAGGAATCACATTACCCAACTTCAAACTATACTGTAAGGCTACAGTAACCAAAACAATATGGCATTGGTACAAAAACAGACATATAGACAAATGGAATAAAATGGAGAATCCCAAAACAAATCCACACACCTACAACCATCTAATCTTTGACAAAGATGACAAAAAGAGCAATGGGGAATAGACTCTCTATTCAATAAATTATGCTGGGATAACTGGCTAGCCATATACAGAAGAATGAAACTGGACCCCTACCTTTTACCACGTAGAAAAATCAACTCAAGATGGATTGAAGATTTAAATCTGAGATATCAAACTATAAAATTCCTAGAAGCTAACCTAGGAAATACCATTCTGGACACGGGGCTTAGCAAATAATTTATGACTAACTCCTCAAAAGCAATGTCAACAAAAAATTGACAAGTGGGTGCTAATTAAACTAAATAACTTTTTGCACAGCAAAAGAAACTGTCAACAGAATAAACAGACAACCCACACAATGGGAGAAAATATTTGCAAACTATGTATCCAACAAGGGTCTAATATCCAGAATCTATAAGGAACTTAATTCAATAAGAAAAACAAGTAACCTAATATAAAAAGAGGAAAAGGACATGAAAAACATTTCTCAAAAGAAGACATACAAGCAACCAAAACACCTATGAAAAAATGCTCAATAGTGATAATCATAAGAAAAGTACAAATCAAAACTGTAATAAAATACTATCTCATACCAGTCAGAATGGCTACTACTAAAAGAAAAAAAAATAACAGATGCTGGTGGGGCAGTGGAGAAAAGGAACCCTTACACACTCTTGATGGGAATGTAAAGTAGTTTGGCCTCTGAGAAGAGCAGTCTGGAGGTTTCTCAAATAATTTAAAACATAACTACCATTTGATCCAGCAATCCCATTACTGGGTACATATCCAGAAGAAAATAAATTGTTCTACAAAAAAGACCCATGCAATCGTATGTCCACTGCAGTGACTAGTACTGCAATGGGTATATGAGTGTATCAACTTAGGTGCCCATTAATGATGGACTGGATAAAGGAAATATGCTACATATACATCACAGAATTATATGCAGCCACAACAAAGAATGAAATCATGTCCTTTGCAGTGACATAGATGGAGCCAGAGGTCATCATCCTAAGCAAATTCACACTGAAACAGAAAACCAAATACTCTATGTTCTCACTTAGAAGTGGGAGCTAAGCATTGGGTACAAATCGACATAAAGATGGGAATAATAAACACTGGAGACTACTAGAGGAAGGAAAAAGGAAGGGAGGCAAGGCTGAAAAACTGCCTATTGGGCACTATGCTCACTACCTGGGTAAAGGGATATTTCATACCCTAAATCTCAGCATCATACAATATACCCATGTAACAAACCTGCACATGTACCCCCTGAATCTAAAATAAAAGTTGAAATTTTTTTTTCTTTCTTTTTTTTTTATTATTATACTTTTAAGTTTTAGGGTACATGTGCACATTGTGCAGGTTAGTTACATATGTATACATGTGCCATGCTGGTGCGCTGCACCCACTAACTCGTCATCTAGCATTAGGTATATCTCCCAGTGCTATCCCTCCCGCCTCCCCCCACCCCACAACAGTCCCCAGAGTGTGATGTTCCCCTTCCTGTGTCCATGTGTGTAAACTAGTTCAACCATTGTGGAAGTCAGTGTGGCAATTCCTCAGGGATCTAGAACTGGAAATACCATTTGACCCAGCCATCTCATTACTGGGTATATACCCAAAGGACTATAAATCATGCTGCTATAAAGACACACGCACACGTATGTTTATTGCGGCATTATTCACAATAGCGAAGACTTGGAACCAACCCAAATGTCCAACAATGATAGACTGGATTAAGAAAATGTGGCACATACACACCATGGAATACTATGCAGCCATAAAAAATGATGAGTTCATGTCCTTTGTAGGGACATGGATGAAATTGGAAATCATCATTCTCAGTAAACTATCGCAAGAACAAAAAACCAAACACTGCATATTCTCACTCATAGGTGGGAATTGAACAATGAGATATTATTTTTTTAAAAGAAAAATAACCAGTGATTCTGAAACAAATTTTTATGTAAGTCTTAACTGGCAATCTCAACTATGGAACCTAAGAATGGCTATGAAGTTGGAAAGATTATTTAGCAAAGGAAAATATTTAAAATGATTAGCAGTTTTTCTGTGAAGACTAAATTCAGCTTCTTGTGCTAGTGAAATTTTGTCATTTTTGAGGTCAATGTCATTAACCTTGCTCTCTTTTGGTCATAGTAGACAACTGTTCTCCACAGCAGGACAGGAATCTGTAATGTTGCAATAGTTTATGAAGAGTCAGTTATATAATTGGAACTTTACATGCATGTGGAGCTCCTTATTCCCACTAGCAGTTGTTAAAGCATAATCCCTCATGAGTTTAAGTTCTACCCAAATTGTGGAGCTTCTTTTGGTTTATTGGAAGATTCTCATTTTAATAGTTTCCTAATGTCTCACCTCAAATTTCATGCCATTATTTCATATAAACTGAAACCAAGTTCCTCTTGTTTTAGTTACAAATGGCAAGGATTCAAACCTTGGCAAGGCTTAAAAAGGTTTGCAAGGAAGTTTTCCAATTATGCTGCTCTGCCTGATTTTGTCTTTCTGGATTCACCATTACAAGGGTCTTAGGAATGATGCTTCTGTTATTGAGGGATATATCTGATTGAGAAATGAAAAAAGGAATCTTACAAGAACCTTTCCCACCTTTTAAGAATCCAAGGCATTTTTCCAGTAGACAAGGCAATAGTTACCAGTGAATAAAACAAGGAAGAAAACTCAGGATCTACCCTTACAGCAAATTTCAAGTACGTATATAATGTTCTATTATTAACTATAGTCACATTGCTGTACATTAGACTTCCAGAGCTTATTCATCTTGCATAACTGAAACTTTGTACTCCTCGTCCAACATCTGTTTCTACTTCCCTACAACCCCTAGAAACCACCATTCTACTCTCTGCTTGTATGAATTGGTGTATTCTAGATTCCACATATAAGTGAGATACTTGAAATAAATGTCAAAGTGTACACCATGTGTGTATTTGTTAACACAATAAAGCTGGAAAAAATTAAGAGAATGGTGAAAGTTTGAAAAAAATAGAAATGATTCATTCCTGTCTTGAAAATAACACCATCCAACATCTCCTTCACATGCCTAATGTTGCACCCCTCTCAACTGTTGTAGGAGACTTCTAGAATAACCCCTAAGATTCCCACTCCTGCCCCAACATACACATACTGTACAATCTCTCTATGAGTGTGCATGGAGCTTGTGAACATAATTGATGTCACTTCTGTGATTAGGTTACATTGTATGGCAGAGGTGAAGAGATTTAAGCAGATCTTATTAAGGTTCCAAATCACTTTAAGGTGATCAAAGAGGAAATTATCACACGCAGGCCTGGCATAACCAGATGAGCCCTTTAAAAGAGTTTCTAGAGTTCAGAGATTTGAAGGAGCAGATTTTCTCTTTCTCTGGGTTGCTGATTTTGAAGCAAGCTGCCATAAATTCTAGAGCTGTAAGGAAATGAATTCTGCCACTAACCACAGGAGTTTGGAAGAGTGCTCCAACCCTCAGATGGGATCAAAGCCCCAGCTGACACCCCAATTTCAGGTTGATGAGACTGAGCAGAAGACCAGTTAAGCCAGGCACAAATTCTTGAGCTACAGAAACTATGAAGCAATACAACTATACTGTTTTCAGCCACAAATTTTGTAGAAATTTGTTAAGCGGAAATAGATAATGAATACAAATTTTGGTACCAGGAAGTAGAATGATGCTGTAAAAAAAAAATACTTAAAATGTAGGTGTGGTTTTAGTACTAAACAGTAGTTAAGGCTAGAATAATTTTGAAGAACATGATGAAGAATGTGTCAATGGCCTTGAATGTAGTGTTGGAATTACTGACCATAGGAATGCTGCTGGTGAGAGTTCAGAAAGAAGTGAGGAACATGTAATTAAAAACTGGAAGAAAAGAGATCCTTGTAATGTACTGGTAGAGAACATAGTGAAGTTATATGGAAAACAGAATTTCTAAACAACGAAGTTGATTATGTGGCTAAAGAAATTTCCAAACAAAGACTCAAGGCTGCTACCTGGCTTCTTCCTTGTAATGAAATGTGACAAGGGAGAGAGAAATTGAGGGGAGAACTGCTAAACAAAAAGAACTAGGACCAGATAACTTTGAAAATCTCAGCCTCTCCAGGTGGCAAAAGATGGTAAAAGTCAGAAATGACAGCTGAACATGTGGCATAAAGAAATGGCTGAGTATGTAACTGTTCAACCTTTTACTACAACTTCTGAAAGATCAAAAGGTCAGAATATTCAGTCACATAAAAGGTCATTTCACAGAAATTAACTGTGCGCCTTACAGACACCCTCAATCAAACCAGAGGGCCTGTAGGAAACTTAAGAGCACTGTCTCTCAGCCATCTCATTAGGAACCAAAGATAAAAGATTATCTGGAAAAAAACATGGTAGGTGTGGCTTTTGTCTAATGGGGTGAAACCCAATAAAATCCATGCAAGATTCTCACCATTCTTGAGAAAATTATTTCAGCAGAAATGCTGCCAAGTTGAACTAAACGGGATAGAGAATATAAAATGAAAGAAGGCTGTCAGAATCCCAAGATTCTACTGGCAGGAAGTAGGCTAATAAAACTACTGTACTCAGCTGAAAAAACATCCTTTCCTATAAAAGGAATGACTCAGTGGGCAGAACCAAGGGCATTGATTGAGGAAGGAACTGAAAGCCAAGGAGAATTATTCTCAGGCTTTGAAACCCAATCAAGGAACTCTAGCTGGATTTCAGAACTGTTATGGACAAGTGGGTCCTTTCTACCTTCCATTTTTCCCCTCTCTTGAACTGGAATGTTTGTAACTACCGTCATATGCCTGTCCTACCTTTTTATGTTAAGTACATGGAGGGTAAATAACGTAGTGCTTTAGTTTCACAGGTGTACATATGGACAGAAATTGAGTTCCAGGTGGTGTACTTAACAGTTCACATCTGGGAGCCTCTTGCTCACTTGTATCTGATTTAAATGATGAGATTTTGGACTTTGAGCTGATGCTGAATGGCATAAAATTCTTAGGAATCTTTGGAAAATATGAATGTATTTTGCAAGTGTGAAGGAAGTGATTTATTAAGAGCTATGGAGTGGACTGTTGCCAGCAAAGCTCTAAGATGGCTCCTAAGATTTCCACTCCCTGGCATAAAAACTATATATAATACTATCCCTTGAATATGGGCAATATCTGTGAATATGATGGATATCACTCTCATTATTAGGTTACATTATACAGTGACCTCAAGGAATTTTTTCAGATATAAAGTTAATTTAAAGAAATATTATTTCGGGTGGGCTTGACCCAATCAAGTGATTCCTTAAAAGAGGGTCTAGAGGTCAGAGATTTTCCTATTGGTCTTAAAGGAGTAAGTTACCATGCTGTCCAGGACCTGAGAGAGAGTCATGTGGCAGGGAACTAAGGGTGGCCTCAAGCTACTGAGAGGAGCCTCAGCTGATAGGTAGCAAAGAGATAGGGACCTCCATCTTACAAATTCAATAACTGAATTCTGCTAACAACCAGGTGATCTTAGAAGAGAACCCTGAGGTCTGTAAGGGCATGCAGCCTAGCCAACACCTTGATTACAGCCTTGTGAGATCCTGAGCAGAGGACCCAATGAGACTGTGCCTGGGATTCTGAACCATGGAAACTGTGAGATAGTAAATGGGTGTTGTTTAAAGTTACTGCATATGTGGTAATTTTTTACATAGCAATAGACAACTAATTCTGTATCATTCAAGGTTCAGCTAGAGAAGCAGAATCAGTAGGATATGATTTTGTAATTTGGGGGGCTGGCTGAAGAAGTCTGAAATCTGTAGAACAGGCAGGAAGGAACAATCACAAGTCTTTTATTAGATATACGTATTGAAAATGTCTTCTACTCTGGCTTGTTTTTTCAACTTTTGGAATTTTTTTTCTTTATGGTTAGTGATTGCTGTATCCTATTTATAGTGTCTTTGTCTAGTCCAGTGCAATGAAGCTAGTCACCTGTATTTACTTCAAAAAGCTTTATTATTTCACCTTTAAATTTAGATATATACTGTATCTGGAGTTTAATTTCTTGTATTTTATGAGATAGTGGCAACATACATTGTTTTCAAAATGACTATCTGGTGCCATTTACTAAGAAGAATGGACTTTTTATATTACACTGCAGTGATATGCTTGTCATAAATTATTCCTTGGCAATATATGTATGCCTATTTCTAGAACCTTTATAATGCTCCATGGATCTATTCGTCTGCGCTGTGTCAATATCACAATGCCTTAATATCTATGGCTTTGAAATATAAATCAACAAGTGTTAGTGTACGTCCCCAACTTTTAAAATTTATGATTGCCTTGGATATCATTGATCCTTCCATTTTCTTAAAATTTAGAATTTGCTCGTCATTTTCTATACGATAATTCTGAGATTTTACTTGGTTTTGCATTTAATCTAAAGATCAATTTGGGGCTACTTGACATCTTTAGAATATTGAGTCTTCCAATGCATGAAAAGAATTGTTCAATTCTGTGCTACTAATAAAGTAAAATCCTGAAAGAGAATTTTGTAGGAAATACATGTATTCTAAAATTGGCCCAAAGACTTTTTCTAACTTAACAGATATGAGTTATCTCAGCAAAAGAATGGATTTAGAGACCACATTGGGCACTGGAGTCTCACCACGCATAGCAAGGCCCCTTCCCTGACCAGGAAGTTTCCCTTGTTACAGAGTGGCATAGATTCTCTAGCTCTTACCCTGCCACCTTCCTACTGAGGTATATATGTTAACATTTAGGGGTGAGAGCTAAAACTAAAATCCTAAGCCACCCAACTAACTGAATGGACAATTTCTTGGCCAAGTGTGCTCCAGAGAGATCTTAAAAACTAAATTCCTGGGCATGACAAGTTGGGAGGTCAGACGTACTCCATTATCCTCCTTCATACGTCTCAAGGTCGGACATATGTCCATTATGGTTTAGACACAACAGTGACCAGCATTCGTGTTCAAATAGAGACCAAAAGACTGACAGAATGGAGTCTTTGTGGCAATAAGATACCAAATTATAAACAAGACTTAAGATTATGCCAGGCAAGGGTTAAGTCATACACCCCTGCACTTAAAGGATAAACTATGTTCTAACTGGCCCGATGATTTTTCTTTTTCTCTGGCAGCTAAACAAGCACTGGCCTCGAGATAAGGAATAGTAAAATAATTGCAGCTCATCCACTGCAAGACACTGACTCACTTACCTCCTGTTCTATAAGCCATAACTACAGCTTTGTGGGGTTTTTTTCCTTGTAATTTGTTTGGCTTTTGTTGTTGTTGATTTGGTTTGTAAGACTATTTGTTTCATTTTACGTTTGGGGGTACATATGCAAGTTGGTTATATGGATATATTGCAGAATGCTGAGATTTGGGATTCCAGTGAACCTATTACAGAAACAGTGAACATAGTACCCATTGTGAAGTATTTCAACTGCTGCCCACATCCTCCATCCTCCCCCATTTTGGAGTCCCCAATGTCTATTATTTCCATCTTTTTATCCATGTGTACCCATTTTTTAGCTCCCACTTATAAGTGAGAACATGCAGCATTTGATTTCCTGTTTCTGAGTTATTTTCCTTAGGATAATGGCCTCCGGCTCCAACCACGTTGCTGCAAATGACAAGATTTCATTCTTTTTTATTGCTGTGTAGTATTCTATGGTGTATACATACAATATTCTCTTTACCCGATTGAACACTGATCAACACTTAGGTTGATTCCGTGACTTTGCTATTGTGTATAGTCGAGCAATAGACGTGTGAATACAAGTGTCTTTTTGATAAAAGGATCTATTTTCCTAAATAGTGGGATTGCTGGGTGAATGTTAGTTCTAATTTTAGTTCTCTGAGAAATCTTTATACTGATTTCCATAGGGATTGAACTAATTAATATTCTCACCAACAGCATATAAGCATTCCCTTTTCTCCATATCCTCACCAACATATATTATTTCTTGACTTTTTAATAGCCATTCTAACTGGTATAAGATGGTATGTCACTGTGGTTTTACTTTGCATTTCTGATCATTAGTGACGTTAAACATTTTTTCATGTTTGTTGGCTGGTTGTAAGTCTTCTTTTGAGAAGTGTCTGTTCATGCACTTTGCCCACTTTTTAATGGGATTATTTGTTTTTATCCTATTGACTTAAGTTCCTTATAGATGCTGGATATTAGTCCTTTGTCCAATGCATAGTTTTCAAATATTTTCTCCCATTCTGTAGGTTGTTCATTTATTCTGTTGATTCTTTTGCTGTGCAAAAAGCTGTTTAGTTTAATTAGGTCCCATTTGTCTATTTTTGGTTTTGTTGCATTTGCTTTTCAGGTCTTAGTTAGAAATTATTTGTCCAGGCCAGTGCCAAGAAGGGTTCTTCCTAAGGTTTTTTTCCTAGGGTTTTTATAGTTTTAAATTTTTTTTCTTTTTTTGAGAAAGGGTCTCACTCTGTGGCCCAGGTTGGAGTACAGTGGCATGATCTCAGCTCACTGCAGCCCCATCTCACTGGTCTATATTAGAATAAATAATTTTCTAATCACCTCTTAAATAAGACTAGACTTTATACACTCTTTTGGTATCTTTAAGTTGATACAAACCTATTAATAGTACTGTCCCTGTTCCTATCTTTTGCCTACAGCTACAGTCCCCTAAATAGCAGTAAATATTCAATTATTGCCTAGATATTGAGTTAAAAAGAGAAAATCTACAAGGTTAGTTCTCTTTGTATGTAAGTAAATTTATTTTTCTTCTTCCTTTTTGCATGGCTTGGTGTTGTATATGACCGCTGTTTTCAAAACTCTTTAATCTCACTTTATAGTCATTGAAACTGAGCACAGAAGGACTTGTATTGTTTTGATAAGTGAACAGGTGAGGACAGGGGCTCTGCTAAGGTTTCTTAGTAACTATACATTTTAATTGTGCCTACCACAGCAGCCTGTCTCATGCCACTCCTGTATATAATGTCAGGAGCTAGTTCTGTGAGCAAGTTTGAATAACTGCAATAGAGAGCTATTTCTCAGAAACAAATGATAAGAAACAAACATTCGGCATATTCATGGCTCAGCTTTTTTGTTGTTGTTAACTAGACCGCTGTACTTAACATTAAATCCTCTCCTGGGCTCACAGCTGGTACTGCAAACACTGTTAATTGGAGAGACTGAAGTGTGAAACTCAATATATATGTTGTCATTTTACTCAACAGTTTCTGGAAAATGTATTGCAGGTAAATCAGCAGGTGTTAGCAAAGCATTCGAGAAAGTACACAAGAGCACGTTAAGCCTCATGATGGATATGTTTCCCTGCTGGAGTAAAGCAAGCATCTGACTTTTGTAGCCATTACTGAAGTAGAATAGATTTGTCATTCTGCAAACAAATGAGATTTTTCTTTTATGCAATTTTGAATGCTCTGATTTATTTTTGGATAATAGCCTTTCTAATTCCTTCCCAACTTTTTTATTCTCCAACATTTTGTTCCCTTCTCTTTGACATAAGAGAAATATTAAAACTTTGCTATTAAATAATTACAAAATATAATTTTAAATGCCTTTATTGTGTCAGTTACACAGAAGAAATTTATTAAATGTATATCTAATGACTAAATAGATAACCATATTTTAACTCATTTTGATTTGCATCATGGAGTCTCAATGAAATAGAGGCATTGGAAATCAGGCAATTTTATATTTGAAAGAAAAGAGAAACCTCATCAATGTCCCTTGGGACCCAGTGTGCTATCTAATTATGTGATAAGATTTTCCTGTTCCAAACGTTTATAATGATTTTTAACTTCCTATTAGAGACATCACTGATTAACTTCTAACGTAGAAGAGACCCAAATTAATGACAGTGCTAGTTTTCACCTTATGACAATCTTGATTTTATTGTCCATTCTTTTCTGCTCTTCTCTGCATCGTGTGAGAATAAATTCTATTAAAAGGCAATATACAGGCTCTCTTGACTTCTGGCTTCCTTTTGGTTTGGTCAGTAATATGCACTGACAAAAGGTGGGAAAGTAGAGAGGTTGGGTATTTATCTTCCTTGCTCCCTCTATATCAGATCACACTTTTGTTGGTGGCTGTTTCATCTACCTAAGACTTAGTCTTTGTGAGAGTTTCCAGTCACATCACACTCTGAATCACTGTTTCTTCCCCTCGCCCATTAGGAAGAGTTTTACTAAAAGTCATGAAGTTCCTAGACCCTGAGACCTTTATTGTTCCTCATCAGCTCCTTAGCCATGTCCACACATCTGAAAATTGTCCTTTTGTTACACAAGTTAAACATACCTAATCTAAAATTCCAAAATGCACCAAAATCCTAAACTTTTTGAGTGCTGAAGTGAAGACACAAGTGGAAAATTCCACACCTGACCTTACGTGATAGGTTGTAGTCGAAACACAGTCAAAACTTTGTTTTATGCGCAAAAAATATTTTAAATATTACATAAAATTAGTTTCAGCCTGTATGTGTAAGGTGTATATAAAACAAATAAGTTTTGTGTTTAGACTGGAGTCCGAGTCTCAAAATATCTCATTGTGTATATGCAAATATTCCAAAATTCAAAATTTGAAATCTGAAACTTGATTCCAAGTTTTTTGGATAAGGAATCTTCAACCTGTTGTCTCTTTAAATTTTTGAATATGAATTTATGATAATGAAAGATAAAATAATTTGTATCAGGTTTGGACATAAGACCCAAACTCTCAAATGGATTTCTGGATTTTGTTGTATTTACTGGATGGGTACACAGACAATCCCCTTGTGGTTGGTAATTGATGGTCATGTAGTGGCAACAAATATTATAATCACCATTGGTGGTACTGGATGGAGAACAAGTCATTGGTAGGACAATAGCAAATTGACATTTATGAGTTTGTGCTTCAAATGCTAGACTTTCTCTAAATAAAAGGATGAGAATGGAATCTGAATGACAAAAGGGGTAGACTGGCTGGCCACTCCCCATTTTTACCTTTAGATACATTACTTGACCTTCTCTCCACTGTTCTGTGCTTTAGAAGGCTGACTTCTACAGGCTGTGTCACCAGATGTCTTTGTTGTCTAGCTACTATTTGGGTTTCACCAATTGGAGTATCAATAGGGTAAGAGGAGTGAGAGATGGGATATTTATTCCTATTGCCTCTCTGTTGGGCTATAGTTTTAGCAGTGGCTGTATTTTTCTGCAGCCACAGCTGGTCTCTGAGCCCCTCTTCTATGCTTATAGCTCCCTCTAGGATTTCTCATACATTCCATTCCTTTCAGCTATAGAACAATGGATAGTAGCAGCCTCCCACTATTGCAAATTCCCGTACACCAGATGATCTCTTGTGTCATTTCCATCAACTCTGATTCATCTCTGTAAATTGTCCTTTTACTGAACTCTCTTTAATTAAACTCTTTGATGTGTTGTTTCCTTCCAGGACCCTGGCTAAGACAAAGTCTCTGAACTACAAAATAAAAGCATTGGCTCATTGTCTTTGCAGCTTGTAATCTACATTAAATTAGCAGACAGGGAATCTAAAGTACTGTTGCCACTTTTGAATGATCCCTCTGTGCATCTGTTTTGTTTTCTGTTAGTGATGAACCCTATTCTAATGCCATCTGTATAATCACATCTAAGACTGAAGGTATGGAAGATGGCTGACAGGGTCCTGTTGGCATCTGGCCTTTCTTGTCTTCCTGGGAGCAACTGTGAGAAGCTATTATACTCAGGGACAACAGACTTGAAAGTCATAAAGTGGCCACATCATTTTTAAACATTAGCGATACACTCGTAGAAAGTAGGGAATACACTCAGAAATAAGAGGTAGCCAAGATTCATATACTTTAGTTCAAGACACTGACTATTGGTGAGGACAAAAATTCCTGATTCTGCCACAAAAGGGAGTTTCTTAATTCTGCCCCAGTTCCTGTGAAACATTTTTCAAGTTGTAAGAAAGATAAAACTAGGAAACAAAAAAGGAAGACTTCTTTTTGTAATGTATGAGAATTGTAATAACTTAGGGAGAAACCTGCTTTGAAACACCAGCATTGGCTGCAGTGAGAAGAGCCAATAGTACTACAGTGGCAGAAAGGAGCCTGTGTGCCATTCTTGATATCTGCATTACCAAAAGGAGCAGTTGACAAAGGCATAAAACGAAAATAAGCTTGCAAAGACCCATTACAAAAGGAAAGTTCTCAGTGAGTTGTGGTTCTAGTTTCTGAAATACTGATTGAGGGATCAGAATAAATACCGTTACAATTGTTAACCCTTTTTGGTGTGGCCTGGGAATACTGTTATATGTACTAATTGATCCTTTCAACTATTTATTGAGCAACTACTGTGTGTCCACAGTATGTCACTTATACTTTATTTCATTAATGCTAACAACTTTTCAAAGTACCTCTATATTCATTTTATATATGAAGGAACTAAATCTGAGTGAAGTTTATTAACTTATCTAAGTTATAGGTCTAGTAGAACCTCAAGTCTAGATTCAGATTTTACGATATGATCAACTCACAACATGCTTATTGACGAAATATCCAGATTCGGCCTACAATTATGTATTAGAGGTCATTCCTGTTTTTTCATTATTGATCTTTTTATGAGAATAAGTTTTTATATTTTTCTTTTTTGCTAATATCAACAACATGAGTCTTCTATTTCAAAAGGAATGATACCAGTCCGTAAAGAGAAATGGACTCAAGAGAATGAGAGAGTAAGAAGGACCTGGTGATAGATTAATAGCTTTTAGACCCTGGCTTCATGCAAATCCTAGTTGGTTTTGTTTGCCTTATTTTCTTCAGTTGATCTGCATTTGCAACAAAATAAATGCTGACTAGTACAATGAAACTATGGAAAAATAATGATCATTACCCTGGGGATCTGAATTGCTAGCCTAATGATGAGCTAGTTAAATTGGCATCCTTTTGCTGGTAGGATGGCTTTGAACTTGTACACTGGTTTTATTTTTTAGGCATTTGTTAGGTCATGGGAACAAGTAAACAAAACACATCCTTTTCTCTGATAATACACCTACCATATGAATAGGATGCCTTAACATCTTTACCGAGAGTAAGGGTACTTTATGAGTTGTTCTCACTTAAAAACCTTTCCTTGGGGATGAAATTCTGTCCATGGAAATTCTCAAATCTACACCTGAGGTCTCACATCTGAATTTCAGACTTTACAATTGGTAACAAACTTCTGTCTTCCTGTATCTCTGAATATCATCTCCTGTTACTTTGGCCCTTCCCCCTCCACTGGTCACAACACACTCACTCTGTGATAATTCTTGGATTTGAACTTATCTTTTTTGACTCAACTGCTATTAACCATGACTGGCTTTATATCTTCTGTATTTGCCATGCCTGCTGAGCATGTATTACTGTTCTCTGTCCTTTCCCCTTTTACTCCTGCCTCTTGTTCTGCCATTGACGCCTTCCACTCTTCTATGTAATCAATTATAATATATAACACATTTTTTCTTGTATCATAATCTCTCCTGGTATTCTAACAGTATGTCTGTCAAAGAAAAAAGCATCATGGTTAGTCTTCCCTGCCAAAGGAAGACATAGCATACCATCCAAAAAAATTTTAACAAAACGTAGGCTATCTTTCTGCTTCATCAATTTATGGACTTTATATGGGTATGCATGTCTGTGTGAAAACACTGTTCTTCATAAATACATCAAGGGGTGTTGGATCTGATATCACAAGTCAAATATTCAATTTGTAAACTTATTCAATGGACTGTTAAGATAAGTTTTAGCCGGGACAACAAGACAATAATTATTAGGTCCCAAAGTAATTTGTCAGGCCACCCTAAAAGAATGGAGTTATTAAAAGAAAAAAAACACATGCTATATGGATCTTAAACCCTCATTTATACCTGCTTTGTAAAGATTTGGCTTGTAGTAGATTAACAGAGGATTTTAGACTGAATTTCTCTGTAAAGAGCTGAGCTCTGAGTGTTACTTCCTTAAAGCTAAAATTGAGGGGTGGAGTATGTCCACCTCTAACCCAAAACCTTGTAAGAGGTTTTTCAAGGATACTACTCAGAAAGGTTAATATGTATCTTCTGCAGTTTGTGGTTAGTGGCCTGTATAGAATGCCTACCAGGACATGTAAAACACAAGAGATAGGCTAGCTTTCTGCTACACAGTATGCAGAAATAGAGGTAGCTGTGTTGGGATCAATCTTCACTCTCTGTGGATCAAATATCACCAAATGAGAGCGTGAGCCAGACCAGAACCATTTAAAATCTTGCCCCCAATTACTTCTGGAAGAGGAAAACATAATCAAAGAGAGAATAAGGTATACTTAAAACATACAAATACACAGCAACAATAGTAACAAGCCGAGTTAGACTGGTCAGCAAAAGGGAGTACATTACCCAGGTCACAGAAGTGCAGTCAGTTGTTTCTAGTAGTCATTTCAGGAATCTGGGAAGTATCAAAGAGATAAAGCCATAAAAAAGTCATTTTTTATGATCTGTTCTGCCCAGAGGTACATCATCAACTTGAAAAAGTAAAGTAAAACAAGAACCTCATGACCTCTGTGATGGTTAACTTTACATATCAACTTGGCCTCATTGCCCAGATATTTGGACAAACACCAGTCTGGATATCATGCAAATTTTTTAGATGAGATTAACATTCAAATCAGTAGACTTTGAGTAAAGCAAAAAACCTCCCATAATGCATGTGGACCACATCCAATCAGTTGAAGGTTTTAGGAGAAAAACACCCAGGTCCCCCAAGGAAGAGGACATTCTGCCTCAAGACTGCCATTAAACTCTGACAGCAACATCAACTCTTCTCTGGGTCTTTAGCCTGCCAGACCTCCCAGTCCCTACAATAATCTGAACCAATTTTTTAAAATAAATTTATTTCCATACCTATACATGCATTTCATTAATTATGTTTCTCTGGACAATCCTAACTAATGTAACCCTCTAACCTGTATCCTTTCTTCACCTGACCATGGAGTTGTCAGAAACTCTGGTTAGCAAGATGGAATGGAAGCATTAGAAATGGAAGAAGGACCACTTGCTTTTATTAGCTTCTCACAAATTAAAGGATCCAAATGATGAAAGAGAGACTTAAATACTTTTTGATTAATATATGGAACTGGACAGTTTTACAAAACTTTTATTGAAGTAAAACATACATACAGAAAAAAATGCTTATAGTATAAGTGTATAGCATACTCAATTTTCACAAATGGAATATACTGTGTAACCAGCACCCAGATTAAGTTACAGAATATTAGCAATACTCAGAAATAGATTTTGTCTATCAGAATCTGTTTGAGTTAAAAAAAAAATTCAGCTGGGCATGGTGGCTCACACCTGTAATCTCAACACTTTGGGAGGCTGAGGCGGGAGGATCACCTGAGGTCAGGAGTTCGAGACCAGCCTGGCCAACGTGGAGAAACCCCATCTCTACTAAAAATACAAAAATTAGCCGGGCATGGTGGCACATACCTGTAATCCCAGTTACTTGGGAGGCTGAGGCAGAAGAATCACTTGAACCCTGGAGGCGGAGGTTGCAGTGAGCCCAGATCGTGCCATTGTACTCCAGCCTGGGCAACAACAGTGAAATTCCTTCCAAAAAAAAAGAAGTGTTCTCCTTGGCCGGGTGTGGTGGCTCACGCCTATAATCCCAGCACTTTGGGAGGCCGAGGTGGGAGGATCACGAGGTCAGGAGATTGAGACCACCCTGGCCAACATGGTGAAACCCCGTCTCCACTAAAAATACAAAAATTAGCTGGGTGTGGTGGCACGTGCCTGTAGTCCCAGCTATTTGGGAGGCTGAGGAAGGAGAATTGCTTGAACCCAGGAGTCGGAGGTTGCAGTGAGCCGAGGTCATGCCACTGCAGTCCAGCCTGAGTGACAGAGTGAGAATCCATCTCAAAAAAAAAAAAAAGAAAAATTCAAGGACAGAAACAAAATTAATTTCTGATTCATAAAACTGTTGAATGAAAAGGTTTTACAAAGAGGTAATACTTTCTTCCAATTTTTTGTAATGCAAATGCACCAAAAGAGGGTGTGTGTGTGTGTGTGTGTGTGTGTGTGTGTGTTCTACCATAAAAGATTACTCAATTTTATGCTTTAAGACTCTTTGGACAATATATGCCACATATTTAAATTAATAATATTCAAAAGGAAATTAAATATCATTGTCATAGTTTTTACAAAATGCACACTTTCCTTTTACTAATAACTATTTTTATATCAACCAACCAGACAAAAAAAACTGTCAGTTCAGTGAAGCAACTAAAGTGAGTTCAATGTAGCAATTCAGTGAAACAATATTTGTCTGATATTTACTGAACTGACTTAATTGTTGAAATGTCTTGCTGTCATGTAGAAACAGCCTCTAAATTTGTAGCTCAAGCCATTTTATTTCTATCTAGGTAGGATTTAATAACAGTTCCTATGTTGCTTTCCATGCATGAAATGTAATAATTAAAATAAAGAAAAATCACTTTTTCAAAAGATAACACTTTATAATCCATCATAAATGAGTGGTAAGGGTCTATTATTTATTAATAAGTGCCTATAATTGTTTAATCCATACATTGTTTAAAATCTCTAACAACGAATTTCGTGTCCACAAATATTTCATGCTGACTAAGGAAACATTTTCTTATAACTTTCTGCATATTTTAAAAAAACACCAACCAAGTTCTGGATTATAATTTTTAATTAAATTTAAGCCTTTAATAGGTGGTAAAAATTGATCTGTAAATTGCCTATTAGCATAGCTCCAGGCATATTTAGAGATTTATTAAATATTGTTTTAGTGATTTCGTGCTGGAAATAAGAAGAAAATGAATAATATAACTCAGTAATTGGTGGCTTTAATATTTCTATATAAAATAGAGGAATAAAATAGTATTTGTATATTATCATACAAATATTTATGAGACACTTTAATATTTTCCAGTCCATTTTCCATTGTTATTATTCCACAGTTTACAGATGAAGGTCCAGTAAGGTATAATTTTAAGATTTGTGCTCTGTCTGTATTACAATAAATGGGCAAGTTTTAATTTAATTAGTCATATCCACTATTGTTTCCATAGCGGCAAGGCAAAGTGATAGATTATCTCAAGTATGAAAGCTTCAGGTTTAGAGCAAGAGGAAAAACAATCCTTAGCTTAAGGCATTGCATTAGCTCTTCCACCTAAGATAATTATGCTGTTCACCAAATGGGAGTTGAGAATCAAATGCTAGTATTAAATTCTAGTTTATTCACAAATTTCATGAAAAGGAAAATGAAGAAAATGTATAAAATATCTCCATATCAAATTGTTCTTGGTTGCATTACTGTGTAATTTTTTGTACCCAAAAGAAATAGTCTGGAGCTTTCATGGGATTTACCCAGAAATGTGAATTTGGACTATTAGAATTCTAATTTACAGACATTGATTTAATCTAACCTGCAAAACCACTTTCTCTCACTAGTTTTTATTTATATCTGTTCCTTGAAGAGTATAGATCATTCTGTTTCTAGTTACAGGCTAACAAAGAATTTCAGTGTCCTGTGGAATTCCTTACATTGGAAATCAATCATAGCACCCTTCCTAAGGGTATTAGATATTTTGCTAAATTGTGTGCTATATTGTCAAAAAGGAAAATGGTATAACTAGAGAGAAATAATAAAGTTTTGCAAAAGTGAGAATTAAAAATGTACAAATGTTTCATGTATATACAATTAGTTGTGAAATATGGAGGGAATTTGATCACCTTTTTAAATTAACAAGAGCCACACAAATCATACAATACTAAAGCATAAAATGAGAGATTATTCCATAAATATTTCATAACAAGTAAAATCTCAGGCCTTAGCAGAGAGAGTTTTTAAATTATAAGAAGAAACATAAAATAAAATTTGAATAATTGTAAAATCACACCCAATTTTAGACAGGAGACACGTTTTTATTTCTTACATTAGTATATAGGTTTAACTCAAAACAAATGGCAATGATTCTAAAGTCAGCCAATTAAAATTGAGAATAATCTTAAGAATATTTTTAAAGTCGGCAGACAGTGGGTGATATAGGCATAAATTATTCAAGTTATTTCAAATTTTAGTAACAGTAGATAACTCAAAACTAGATGTTGGTCTACATGTGATTTTTGTGTCTGGTAAAGGAAGTATTTCATAGGAATGAGAGAAATGGCCAGGCATGGTGGCTCACAGCTGTAATTGCAGCACTTTGGGAGGCTGAGGCTGATGGATCAGCTGAGGTTAGGAGTTCAAGACCAGCCTGGCCAACATGGTGAAACCCCATCTCTACTAAAAAAATACAAAAACCAGCCAGGCGTGGTGGTACGTGCCTGTAATCCCAGCTACTCGGGAGGCTGAGGCAGGAGAATCACTTGAACCCAGGAGGCGGAGGTTGCAGTGAGCTGAGATCACACCATTGTACTCCAGGCTGGGCAACAAGAGAGAAGCTCCATCTCAAAAAAAAAAAAAAAAAAAAAAAAAAAAAAAAAAAAAAAAAAGAATGAGAGAAAGAAGAATAAAATAATACTAGGAGCTCTGACAGATATTTGAGGGAAAAAATCTAATCAGAACCACATCTTATCAATAATTCCAGGTAAATTAGATAAATACATTAAAAAGGAAAAAAAATTCTTTTAGAAATATGAGTGAATATATAACTGACATTTACAAGGTAGATTAAAGTATGAGACTAATGAAAAAGATTGGTATCTTTGTCTCCATAAAGTTTAGAATGCTACCACCATCAAAACCCCCAGGTGCTTGGAAGATGGAGCTCAGTGCATGCTATGGATTCTTACTTTTTCTCTTAATTCCTGCTATGTTGACTAAAGATAGACCATCAAAATAACCTGAAGAAATCTCCCAAATGCATCTGTCTTTTATATTTTTGAGGGAGATTTGGATTCCTACAGAAACTGTTCTGGTGATCAAGCTGCAGACCTGGATTTGCACACAGAAGAATGAGTGGATAACATTACAAATAATATAAGCAATGGCAACAACAAACAACTTATTAAATGAGAGGAAGATCATGTTTGTCATCCACAACAGATATGTCCCATTGTAACAGATTTAAGGGAATAGAGAAGAGATGCCATAGGATAAATAAACGAAGTGATATTTCTAAGGCATAAATTCTATGGAACCCAGGAAAAGGTGGAAAAGATAGCATAATAGTTCCCAGATCCATTATTTCCTTTGCCTTAACTTTTTAGTGTCACTTTTTAAAACACCACATTTCAGAGGTTAAAATTGTAATTTTAGGTAAATAAAAATCAAAGACCTTTCTTTATCTCAGAACAAGATGAACACAATAGTCATGCACAGAATAAAGAGATAAGTATGACCTTAGCAACAAATATTGTTATATTTTACATATAAAATTCAACATTTTATTTAGAAATCCTCCAGAGTCCTGTGGATTTTAAGCAGAAAGGGGGTAGAAGATAGAAAAAAGAAAGACTCATTTTAAATGATTCTGGAAACTTCTGTTTATTTTTCAATCTTTAGTTCTTTTCTAATCAGTGATGTAGCTCAATGGTTCTCAGATAGAACGTGCCTCAGAATCACCTGGAGAGCTAAAGAAGATTGATGAGTACCGT
Source organism: Homo sapiens (assembly GCF_000001405.40). Lineage (NCBI taxonomy): Eukaryota > Metazoa > Chordata > Mammalia > Primates > Hominidae > Homo > Homo sapiens. The sequence continues at coordinate 103,692,386 of NC_000009.12, read as the reverse complement.
CCCTAGAGTTTCTGATTTCAGGTGGTCTGCAGTTTGGCTAAAAAAACCCGCATTTCCAAAAAGATGCTGCTAGTCTAGGGACTACATGCTCTGTCAACCATTGAAAGAGAAGCTTCTTTGGGGGACAGACAATGACAGGTTAAAAACCAGATTTTATCCCTTATCAGTGCAGAAAAATACTATTCAAACCTAATTTTCTCATTTGTGAAAGGGGGAATATAATGCCAAAAAAAGGATTGTTTTGAGATTTTTTTAAACTAACATAACATGTATAAAAACACAACAACATTTGCAAAACAATAAGTTATACTATAAATATTATGTCCTTCTTTTCTTTGTAGACATGGAAATTTCAATATTTTGCATTGTATATCCTTTTTACAGTGAGTGTTAAATATATGGACTGAAAAAAATTGTGATTTCTTAGCATATATTTTTAATGTGAAATACTATATATACTATAACAAAATTGTAGGCAAATTTTTTTCAGGTATAATAAGCAAGATTGGCACAAATTTGAAGTCAAATTTTTTCATAGTTGTTAAGCCTGGAATATGTGAAGTATTACACAATTTACAAACTATTTCCTCCACTTTACCATCTATAAGACTTATAGATGACTTTTTCCATCAATATTTTATTATTTCAAAATTGATTATTTCAAAACCATAAGAGGTTTTTCAAATTATAAATGAATAGACTAATCATAGACATAGGAGATAATTTTTCTTAAGGATTTATACAAAGCTATGTTTTCAAACTGGTATTTTTATTTAATAATTAATAATATTCATTTATAAATAGAAAATATATTTAATAGGAGATACTTTTTTCCTCTGATAACACAGTTTATACCTTTATTGATGATTTTCTGTGTGTGTGCGTGTGTGTGTTGAGATGATAGATGACAAAGAAACACTTTCTTGTAGGATTGAGGCAAGCTTTAAATAGACAAATTTTTAAAAGTTAGTTTTATCAGATAATGACAAAAATAACTTTATTTCAGATTAAGTTCAGACATACATGTTCATCAATCTGGTCACATTTTGATGTAGAGCTAATGGATATTAATGAAATCTGAGTCAACCAGGTGAAATTTTATTCTGTTTTTCCATAATCTGCACTCATAGTACATCCTCTAGAACCTCAATTTTAGGTTTTAAGATGGAGAGAAAAGTTAAAGATATTTTATAAAGCAATATTAGTGCAGAATCCTACATTCTAGGTTTTTATTATTTCTTTGACTCTTTAAAAAAGGTCTACAATTGCTTATAATAGTTTTTAAATTTGATTTCTTGGGACTTTGTAAAACATTTGACCTAGAGCTTTTAAGAACGCAAGATTTTCGCATTAATATTTTATCAGATTACATAATAATTTATTACATTTTATCATCAAAATAACAAGTGCAGCTGGCAAAATCAGTCTTGGGAGCAAACACAAATGATTGCTAATTGCCACTTATCTGGTGGGTGTAGAATGGCAGTCGTGAATAATTAGCAGGACATGAACATCAGAAGGCAGTTCTTTTACAAAATGCTTACTAAATATTAGTTTGATTACTAAATAAGATGATATGTGTATATTTGTAATGTGTGTATATATGTGCATATACATGATGTATGTATAAATATATATTTACATACAAGTACATAAACATAGATACTGTCCCTCAATATCCAAGGGGGACTGGTTCCAGGAACCCCTGTGGATACCCAAATCGGTGGATGCTCATTTCTTACATAAGGTGGCATAGTGCCTATAACCTATATAATTCTCCAGTATACTTGGTTACTTTAATACCAAATACAATGTAATTGCTATGTAAATAGTTAGCTGTTTTTTTTTTTTTGAGACAGAGTTTTGCTGTTGTTGCCCAGGCTGGAGTGCAATGGCACGATCTCGGCTCACTACCACCACCTTCACCTCCCAGGTTCAAGCAGTTCTCCTGCCTCAGCCTCCCGAGTAGCTGGGATTACAGGCATGAGCTACCACACCCGGCTAATTTTTTTGTATTTTCAGTAGAGACAGGGTTTCTCCATGCTGGTCAGGCTGGTCTCGAACTCACAACCTCAGGTGATCCACCCACCTTGGCTTCCCAAAGTGCTGGGATTACAAGTGAGAACCACTGCGCCACCCTGCTATGTAAATAGTTTTACCGTATTGTTTTTATGTATATAATTTTTATTATTGTATTATTTTTATTTCGTCTGTGTTTGAGTATTTTCAATCTGCAGTTGGTTGGCATCTGTGGTTACTTGAATCTACAGATGCAGAACTAGCAATTACAGAGGGCTGACTGTACAAACAGCTTTTTTTGCAACCTTATTGAACTATACCATTTAAAAAACTGATTGCCAATGGAGAGGGGATAAGTAAACACATCAAAAACACTTTATGGCTACTGTCAATTATTGTACTAGAATTCCTCAATTTAAAAATTCTTTATTATGGCTACTGTCAATTATGCTACTACAATTTCTCAATGGAAAAATTCCTAATTTTGATGAATTTGCCTTTTTAGTGTTTATGTGTTGTTGTATAACTTCCTGAATGTTTATACATGGTATGCTGTTCAATACCTAATATACCTAAGGATGTTCTCCTGGTGTTATGAATATATAAAGAGTTATTTGGCTCTGTTAAAGATTTATTTATAACAGTATCTGTTCTTTTTCAGCTCCATAGAAAAGGATCCATTATCTTTTAGCTCTGGCTATTGCCACAGAGATGCTTCCAGATATCTATAGACATTTTTTATAGATATTCTGTCTTTTCTTGCCAGATTATCATAAATACTTGAGGTATTGTTGACACCCATACCACCCAGAATGCACCTGATCCTGGAAGCTAAGCAGGGTCGGACCTTGTTAGTGCTTGTGGGAGACTGCTTAGGAATCAATACTTGAAAAATATATATTTCTGCACACATATATTTATATGTACATATAATTTGCTTAAACCAAGTGTTATCAAATGTAGCTGTGTTTAAATTAATCTTGTCATGTTCTTAGTTATGGATGCTCATCTTTCTTGAGAGGTGATGTACTAAATTGGCTAAACACACATAATGCAGAGTCTAAGTCTCAAACTGAATCCTGGCTCTGTCACATAGCAACTATAATTTGACACAGTCAACTTCAGGCAATTGCTCTGGGTTCCTATCTGTAAATGCAGATGGTAATCACAGCCTTGGGGTTGTTGTGAGAATTAACCAAGCTAACAAACTAATATGTATAGAGCACTATGATCAAGACAAGCAGTGCAAAAACCAGAAGCAGGAAAGAGCTGTAAGCTCTGTTTTCACTTCTTCACCTCATCAACACTTTAACACTTTTTTTGACAATATTACTTAATTCCTCTTTATACTTTATTCTTCTTCATCTGCTCTTGATATCTCTTAATTGTCTTCTGAAGCTTGTAATTTTTCCTCTGATTTGAATTTTTGCATTATCCAGACTTCTGTTCAACAATGTTTTTGAAGTTCTGAATTTGGCAATTCAGTTTCAGAATGAGTTTTTCATTCTCTTTCTCTCTTTTTACGTTTCAGATTTCCCCTCTCCCTTAGTGCTTGCTTTCATTTAAAAGTAGCAGTATTCTCTAAAGTCTTATTCATTACATGAATTCTACATTTTCTTCAATTTAAAAAACGTTTGCAATAAATATTTCAAGACATAACAATAGAAATTAAAGAAGAATGACACACAAAGGCCAGAAATGTCAGTGATTTTCATCAGGCATAGTGGTTCATGCCTGTAATCCTAGCACTTTGGGAGGCCGAGGCTGGCAGATCTATTGAGGCCAGGAGTTCAAGACTAGCCTGGCCAACATGGCAAAACCTCATCTCTAGTAAAAATACAGGTTAACCTGACGTGGTGGCACATGCCTGTAATTCCAGCTACTCGGGAGGCTGAGGCACAAGAATCGCTTGAACCTGGGAGGCAGAGGTTGCAGTGAGCCGAGATCGTGCCACTGTACTCCAGCCAGGGCAACAGAGCGAGACTCTGTGTGAAAGAAAGAAAGAAAGAGAGAGAGAGAGAGAGAGAGAGAGAGAGAGAGAGAGGGAGAGGGAGGGAGGGAGGAAGGGAGGGAAAGGAAAAGAAAGGAAAATTTAAAAAAAGAAAGAAATGTCAATGGTTTTCAATCAAAATATATGCAAAGGGAATTTAAAAGATGAAGAGTCATAAAGTGTAAACAGGAAAACAATGAGAAGCTTGTTTGGAAAATAATTACAGGTGATCTCTACAGAACTACACTAAAACTTTGGAAGAAATGCTAGTGGAACATGAAACAATTCGTGAAAACACTCCAAAAGTTCTAGATTTTGTGGTAAAATATGGAATGTCAGACCTCATTATAAAATATGGAATGTCAGACCTCATTTTCCTTTTTTTCTTTTTGCTTTTTTCTTCTTGAAAATTACATTTATGGTAAAATATGGAATGTCAGACCTCATTTTCCTTTTTCTCTTTTTGCTTCTCTTTTTCTTCTTGAAAATTACCTTTACTTGGCGTTTGACTGACTCATGGCACATTTTTTAGTACAACTCTTATCTTTACAAGTTAGGCAATGTTAGTAGGGTTTAAGCAGATTTTCTTGTACTAAATTCTTGATATAAATGGATTTTTAGAGTTGGTTCTTGATGACTGATTTCTATCTGATCCCACCTGCATTATATCTAAATACTGCTGGGAATTTCCGGAATGAGGTTGTCATTGTTCCTAGTTTCTCTGTGACTTTAACATTTAATTGGTTAGCTTAATGAGAAATGAGTATAATAAGATATTGGATGCTTCTATTCACATGTCATTTTCTTTGAAATTTTGTCCTATTTATTCTGTCTTCTACAATCAACTGTATTTGTATTTTAGTCTATTTTCTAAGCAATTTAATTTGCCATCTTGTTTTATAAAATCATGCCTTCTTGAATTTTTTTAAGAATACAATCAAAAGTCTCCTAAAATGACCTTCTTACTCCTGAGATAATTCCCCACTCGATAGTACAATGAAAGGTTGGAGTCTATTATAATAGAATTTTTTTTTTTTTTTTTTTTGAGATGGAGTCTCACTCTGTCACCCAGGCTGGAGTGCAATGGCACAATCTTGGTTCACTGCAACCTCCACCTTCTGGGTTCAAGCGATTCTCCTGCCTCAGCCTCCCGAATAGCTGGGATTACAGGCACATGCCACCATGTCCGGCTAATTTTTGTATTTTTAGTAGAGTCGGGGTTTCACCATGTTGGTCAGGCTGGTCTCGAACTTCTGACCTTGTGATCCGCCCACCTCGGCCTCTTAAAGTGGTGGGATTATAGGCGTGAGCCACTGCACCCGGCCAGAAAATATTTTTATAGGCCCACGTTTTGTTATTGTTGTAAAGATTTCTGTATTTGTTCATAGACTGAATAATAATAGAATGTCGACAACTTATTTGTGTCCACTAGCAGAGTGAACAATGTTTTTCTAGTCTCCCTCACTATATGTTTTTTTGCTACTAGAACTTTCCATTTTTAAGCAGTTTAGGATTGGAAGTGTGGTAAAATTAGACATCCACCACTATTAACTGTTTGGTATTCTTTAGACTTGTCTTACTGACAAAAGAAAAAAAAACACTGATTCTACTGTCTATTTGTGCAATTATATATGCAAAAATATAGTTCTGCATCATTATAAGAGCTCTCGGGGAGGAAGTTTTTAAACTAGGGTTGTCAAATATAAACAGAATGCAAGCCACAAGTGTGAGCCACACATATAACTGAATTTTTTTGTAGTAACCACATTAAAAATTAAAATAGGTAGATATTTTATTTAAACCAATATACCTAAAATATAAAATCCATATAAAATATATTTATAAAATATTTTACATTTTAATATGAACTCCTCACAATCTGGTGTGTATTTGACACTTAAAACACATCTCAATTTAGTCACATTTTAAGGGCTGACTTTCAACATATGACTAGTATCTACCATACTGGACAATGAAAAATGAGTAAAAGTATAGAAACCAAGGTACACACCTAACTTCTCTCATAGATGTTTCCATTGATTACTTTTTATTTTGCAAATAATCTATCATTACTTGCTTTCATCTGCTTTAATTAAATTGCATTGTTGGGTGTCATGGTCTCCAAATCCATGTAGAGTATTTTTTCCACTGGAATGAGGGTTACAATGACATGAAATATTAAGAAAGCTAAACAAATCCCTGACTGAATAAAACAAACAAAAAATCACCTTTCAGTCAGTTAGGAATGCATGACTTTGTCCTTCTGATAAGTTTGTATCTGAGCAAGAATGGTATACTGAGTGTGAATGAAAATGTCTTATCATGCTTTTCCTGAAAGTGCTAGTTCTGCTTCAGAGCTTAGCTCCCACTTTGATTAGTAAACAGTTCTCCTTGGTTCTGGCACATAATTAATCAATATGATCATGTCCTAATGCTATTGTATTTGTGTGTTTTAATCAATGTTTTTGTGAGTGATTTCAATAGCTAAATGGGGGAAAACAACAAATTGGTAAAGAACTACTATCATAACCTAAAAGCCTATGCTAGAATTCTTAATAAACCAAAAGGAAATTACTTTACCAAATGGAATGGTGACTGGTTGCAATATTTATGTTCTGTCAAGTTCAATAACAATGTGATAATCATATTTGTAACCCCCTCTCCTTTACACTAAACAAATACTTAACCCTTTAACCAATTTGTAAATCATATGCCCAAACAGCATCATTTGGGTGGGCAACTAGTACTATCTTCTAATTTCTTTTTTAAATTTAAACATCTTGTTCATTTTATATTCAACATGTTTCTCCACAGATAAGCAATCTTGAGGGATTTCCTTCCTCAATAAAATACATGAATATGCAACAAAAGAAGTAATTAATTCAATGAATTAATCAAACCATTATGTTTGGTAGTCAGGCATGTTACATCATTTCTTTGATGTGAACTACCATTGGAAACAATCTATCTTATCTGTCATTTGAAATGAATTATATTAAAAATTAACAGTCTCCAACTTGTAATAAAGCTAAAGATCAAGGACATGTCTAATAATATCTTATTCACATTGCAGCTGTGCTTTTGCCTTTAAATATTTTACCTGCTTACTAGTATGCCATTTTGAGATATCAAATCTTATTTTTAGTTCAAATCTCTATAAACAACTAAGAAATAATAGTTTATGCTTAAGCTCTTTGTTATCAAATATTTGAAAGCAAGATTTTTGTACCGACAATAATTGATATATTTAGCAAGATGATCAGAAATGGAATTCTATGAAAATACCGAGCTGCAATATTTGCTTTTAGTGGCCATAAAACAAAGTACAGAACTGTATTAGTTCTCTAATAAGAGCCTAGAAAAGTCTACTTGGGTGTGATATCATGAAACAACATAAGATTACTTTGAAACTCTGACTTGAGGAAAGAGTGTGCCCCAGAGAGCGTTCTCTGAGTATCATGCTTGCCTTCTCATAAGGTGATCCCCAGAGAAAACTAAAAATGCATACAATGACTACTGGCTCTGTTTCAGGTGTCTTTTTCATATAAGTTAATTTCCTGTAAGTCACAATGTTTTAAGGTACAAGATTGTTCATTAATTCAACCAACACAATGCAATTTGCTGAGCTGTTCTCTAGAGATACATAAAAAACACAGTCTCTACTTCAAAGAACAGTCTAGTGGGGAAGGTAGTCAAATAACAGAACATTTTTGGTTTAATACAGTAACTGCATGTAATCAAAATTTTGAATATTCACAATGAAATTGACCATTGAAACTTAACTGTCATTTGTTTTCTTTGAGCCAGTTACTGTAAGTGGCATTCTTTATATCTCAATAAATGCTGTGGTTGATATTGTTACCATTTTATAAATATGGAAGTACAGTTTCAAACAGCTTAAGTAACTTACCCAGGTGATTAAGCTAGTAAAATGAAAAGAGTTGGGATTTCAAATTTTCTGATTCAAGTGCCCATGAACTTGCTTTTTTTCTACATCATCTCTCAGTGTTATACAGGGGTAACAAAACAGATTACAGAAGGAGCACCTGCCTGGCTAAGAGGTCAAAAAATGATTCCCGGGGAAGGAAAAATATGAACTTAGTCTTAAAAGATGAACAGGAGTTACCTACTTGAAACAGTAAGAATGGATCTTACAGGCAGATAGGATTTCCAGCGTAAGGCTCAGATGCATAAACAGGCAAAGTGTAAGGTATGTGGACAGGAGTAGAAATAAGAAAATGAGTATAAAATTGTGGGGATGTGGAACAGGCCATCTTTGGAAAACATGTATCATCTGAAGACAAAGGAAAACTTTCAGATCAGTTTTAAAGAAAGGGATTGATATAATATCTAATTTTCCATTTCGGGACTCTGTGATAGTTAGATTTATTTGTTAACTTGACTGGGTTAAAAGATACCCAGATGGCTGGTAAAACATTATTTTGAGGTGTGTGTGAAGGTGTTTCTGGAAGAGACTAGCATTTCAATCAGTGGACTGTAAAACAATATCCACCCTCGACAATGAGAATGGGTATTATCCAGCCCATTGAGGGCCCAAATAGAACAAAAGGGCTGAATGAAGTAGGCCAGGTGTGTGTCTTCTCTCTCTTCTTGAGCCGAAACAACTCCTGACTTCAGATATTGGAGCTCCTGGTTCTCACACCTTCAAAGTCAGACTGAATTACACCATTGACTTTCCTGGTTCTCTGTCTTACAGACAACATATCAGGTGACTTACTGACCTCTCTAATTGCATGAGTGAATTCCCACAATAAAGCTCCATTTGTATATTTATATCCATATCTGTGTCAATAGGTAGATATAGACACAGATATGGATTCTCTGGAGAATCTTGACTAATACATATTCAAATACAGACTGAGTTTATAGAAGCAAATTATAGGACAATTTTAAGATAACAGATTAGAAACGATGAGCATTTGACTTAAATTAGAATAACCGAGAAGCAATAATTTGCCAATATTTTTTCAGGACAGAGGGAAAAAATCAAACTGAAGAGAAAAATAACAAAAATATGGAAGAGAGGGGTTTGCTTTGAGGTTGTTACCAGGAGGTTATATGGCAAAGTTAAAATCAAATAGTCCTAGGTTTGAATTCACCCTCTATTAGTGGATAACCATTAGATAAATGCTCAGATTTAAAATATGTGTGGTACATATGAGCAAGGAGGCAAAAGAGAAATATGGCGTGAGAGTTAACATAAGTGAAGAATTCACAACAGAAAGAAGAAATACAATAGAAAGTGAAATTTCCGTAAAGCTAAGTTTATTTGGCTTAAAATTGCTTTTATTCTGAAAGACTATCCCTCCTATTTACTCTATCTCATGGTTCATGTAGTTTTCATTTTATGAAATTGTGCTCATAGCAGATAGTGGTTGAGACTACTTTTTCCTTCTTTAGAAACACTTAATTGGCAACATGAATGCTGCAGCCCTATCCTAGTTCCTCAATTTTTATTTATTTTAAAATTATATTGATCCATAAATTCTAAAGTCTGGGAATCTTGCTGTAACCTAAGTTACAGATAATTTAAAAAATGAGTGAGAAAAACTTACTAATATTTCAGCCTATATTACACATCATAAGCCTGCCTCTCCATTTTTGCACCGAAGACTAGTTTAAAAAGATTATTTGACTGCAAATGAGACAAACAAATCCCAAAACCAAAGAAGGACATCTTCTCTAAAGGTAGCAATTTATAATAGTTGCCTGGTTACTCACCATTTCTCAGGAGGAATGGCTATGAATCTTAAGATGGTGTATGCCCCCCCGCCTTTTTTTAAGGGCTTCAAACAAACCTGACCCAAATAAGTATCAGATAACTAGACTGTTAGTGTGGAGAGGACTTCAATTAAAGGTTTATGAGCAGGAAAATAGCAGATGTTGTATAATAACACCTGCTCAAGGAATAGTCTGGGGAAAACCTGCAGCCTTTTTGATGCACCTGCTGAAAGTAGCATCTGGAGGAGCCACCTTTACATTCAGATAGATGTTGGCATCTATGACAGTTTACCATATATCTACATAATACGTCAGGTCAGCATCAACTTTCCATTTTGTACAAATTCAGTCTTATGGAGGAATATATCACATCTCATATGCTATTTTCTTATCAAGTTTTCATATTAAAATTGTCACCATTTAGGAAGACATGGCTTCATGAATATAATAAGAGTAAGAATAAACATTTTAATATATGATGTTTATCAATATGATCTGTTTGCAAAAACCCACATAAGTCAGCACTCAGAATATAAGACTTTTGTCACAACCTCATAGTGATAACAGAGAGGTTCAAGTCTCATCTATTCCTGTTCACGGTTCTATATCTCTTCTTATTATAGTCTTAGGGAAACTTTAGTGCTAGGGATGCCGGGTGGGAATGAAGAACCTGGCTGTTTGTGTTCCAAGAGCACTAAAGACAGCAGAGGAAGAGTATCAGCAGAAAATAAACCATGAGGGAATCAAGGAGATGATTCTTTTCTTTCAAAATGGGTTTTTTGTTTGTGCATTAGTTCATTCCAACACTGCTATAAAGCACTATCTGAGACTTGGTAATTTATGAAGAAAAGAGGTTTAATTGACTCACAGTTCTGCAGGCATAACAGGAACCATGACTGGGAGGCCTCAGGAAACGTACAATCATGACAGAAGGGGAAGCAAGCACATCTTTACCAGGGCGGAGCAGGAGCGAGAGTGAAGAGGGAGGTGCCACACACTCTCAGGCAACCAGATCGCATGAGAACTCATTCACTACTATCACGAGAACAAAGCAGGGAAATCCACCCCCATGATTCAATCACCTCCCAGCAGACCCCTCCCCTGACACGTGGGGATTACAATTGGAGATGAGATTTGGGTGGGGACACAGAGCTAAATCATATCAGTTTGTTTCTTTAAAGAGATTGCTTTCCTTAAGAACAAAACAAAACAAAACCAAAAATTCGCAGTGTGAGGCTCAGGTTTAGCTAGGAGCATAAGATTATTTTCTCTGCCTGAAACTCCATTGTCATGTTCCTTGTAATGTTGTCCCGAGATAGCAGCATCTGCCTCACTTGAAAACATGTGAGAAACGCAAAATCAGAATCTACATTTTTAACAAGATCCTCAGGTGATTCACATAAATATTAACGTTTGAGAATCACTGCTCTGTCACATTTTTTCCACCTTCTGAATCCCAGGTGATGTTAGTTTCCCTAATCCTGCATACTCTCTCATCCTCTGACTCCGGAGTCTCTCCTTATCAGATGCGAGTGGGCAACATATGTTTAGAAAGGTTTATCTCTTAATTTTTTCAATCCTTTCCAAGCATTTCTTAATTAGCCCATCACTGCAGCTCCTAGTGAAATTTGACAAGTAACATCCATTTTCCCATAGGCAACACTTTATTGAGTAATTGTAAACTGAGTATGCTGAGAATGTATTTTATAGTATGCTGAGAATGTAGTCCAGTCCCATGAGCATTTTGTATCAAGCACTATCTAGCCTCTCTGCTAGGAGACATCCTCAGTTGTATCTGGGATCATGCTCAAATCATTTGGTCCTTGGCAGCAGAGTCACATTGCTAGAACTTTTTCCTGGGTCAGCTTCAGGCATGCTAAATTTGATGTCCCAGGAGATAATTTGTTGATTTGTTACAGCTATCTTGTTTGTGACCATCTGCCACCTCAGTAGCACATTAGTAGAATTAATTTCCTGTCAGAGCTGCATGTCTTCTCTGGGAGCTTTTCTAGGAGGGAGGCTCCTGTCTTTACTCCTCTGAAGTTTTAAACATAACATATTTGAATTATGTCATATAGGCATTCACTTCCATGCTCTAGTTCTGAGTTGGATCTATCTTAAAGGGTTCTTCTGTCCTGGACTGTTCCTTAAAAGCAGCCAGTGCTACCTCTTTCTCTTCCTTTCCCTACAAACAGGTAGAATTGAAGGTTAGATGGATTCCTGCAGATCTCCTACGCCAAATGAGGTTTTGTAGCAGGTTTCCCTTCCCTTCTCTTCCCTTCCCTTCCCTTCCCTTCCTTTTCCTTCTTTCCTTCCCTCCCTTCCCTTTCCTTCTTCCCTTCCCTTCCCTTCAACAGGGTCTCAATTTGTCACCCAGGCTGGAATGCAGTGGCACAATCTCGGTTCACTGCAACCTCCGCCTCCCAAGCTCAAGTGATCCTCCCACCTCAGCCTCCCAAGTCGCTGGGACCACAGGCCTGCACCACCTGCCCAGCTAATTTTTGTATTTTTAGTAGAGACAGGGTTTCGCCATGTTGGCCAGGCTGGTCTTGAATTCCTGACCTCAGGTGATCCACCTGCCTTGGCCTATCAAAGTGCTGAGATTTCCAGCAGGGTTTTACTCTAAATAGTCTCATTGTTTGTTCTTGTCAAACCCACTTTTCGCCACGGCAGCTCTGTACACAGCTCTTTGCAAACACCTCTCACATTTTTAATACCTATGAAGATTTTTTTTTTTCTTCTGTGGGTTAAAATTTGTGTACACACCAGCTGCTCTCCACGTTACTGCATGCTCATTTGGTTGCTGTTCAGCAGCTAGCCCCACACCCTGAAGCATTTGCTGTTTTAATGCTACAAACAGCATCTAAGACCCGAGAGAGGCTCCTTGCCAGCCTTTTTTACTGTTCTAACTCATAGTCTGCTCAGTATCACAACATCCCTGAGGTGTGGCATGGTTCAGCCATTATTTTCTGGCAATGCAGTTGCTAAGATTATCCTCAGTTTCAGATGGCATGTGGTCTCTCCCAGTAGTCTCATAGTTGATTCGCTGGTTTAGCTGCAATAGAAGTGTATCCTCCTCCAGGGGTTCTTTCTCAGATAAATAAAAATATGTATCTCTGAACAGGCCCGAAGTCCTGATCAAAGACTTTACATCCCCTTCCTGCAAACACTTTGATTTTAAGAAAAAGTCTGTGTCAATGAATAATACTTTTATATCAGGTTTCATAGTTCTTTCTTCTTCTATTTTAGGAAATTTTTGGAATTAATTACAATTACTCTAAGCAACTATAAATACTAGCAGGCTTTCCATCTGGAACTTCCTATCAAGAATAGCAAAGAAAAAGGCTTTAAGGAACTTCTGATCGAGAACAGCAAAGATAAGAGCTTTAAGGCCCAGCTAAGAAAGCAAAAACTTTCTTTTGATTTTGTGGTATTATTCAGTGGATCAGTACAATCCATATTGTGTAAATTTAGTCTTTCCTTCACCTATCGTGCCATAATTTAACAGTGATTTTTGAGGATAAAATATTGAATCAAATATTAGGTAGTAATTTAGACTGAGATGCAGATGGATTTAACATTGGGAGTTTAAACTAATCCTGGACAAGCCCAATTTGTAACTCACATGTTAGACAGTTTTTTTTCTGCTTTCTTAGGTTCCATTTAAACCGAAAAACTAATGCTTCTACTTATAATGTGTGTATAGACAAAGCAGATTATTGCCCCCACTCTACTGATGACACACATTAGGAAAACCTAAAAAATTACAATTTAAAAAATTTCTTTAGACAACTGAGCTTACAAAGAAACCTAATAAACTAAAATTCAGAGGTGTGGACACGCTTTGGGAAAAATTAGATGCATACTGCTTTCATCATTGGTGAAAAGGCAGGGGGACAAGCGTGCTGCTATTGTAAAGGCAAGAAGATGACAGAAGAACTTTTTGAAAGATTGGGTGTGTGCTGGCATGTCTGTGAACCATGCCAAAGAGCAAGGAGAATCTCTATATACCTGTAACTCTTTCCAGTGGGCCTTAACTAAGTACACATATAAAATACTGAAGGCAGGAAAGTCTTATCATTCCTTCACTGGTATAGCTACAGTGGAAGTCTATCCTCCTCCAAGGGTTCTTTCTCAGATATACATATATATATATAATATATATATGATATGATTTGTTAGATGGGTTTATTCTGCCTTTCAAGGTTCCATTTAAATGGAAAGACTTATGCTTCTACTTATAATGTGTGTATAGACAAAGCAGATTATTGCCCCAACTCTACTGATGAGATACACTAGGAAAACCTAAAAAATGACAATTTAAAAAATTTCATTAGAGAAATTTTTACATTTCTGATATTTAAATTTTTAAATTTCTAACTCTCTACGGCACATGTGTATCAGATGGGCTGAAGTTGGAGCTGAATGAATAGAACTCCACGAGCTCTCTGGGCCCTGAGAGAGAGTAAAACGGTGGTCACCTGTGGCTGATGATGTGACAGAGGAGCTGTCAGGAACTCCCCGGTGTGGCCCAGAAACACACTGCCTGTGATGTCTGAAACTTGCACAGTTAAATGGAGAAGAAACTTAGAAGCATTTGTGGATTTTACGCTGAATATGAGGCAGTGGTTATGTGCAGGTGAAGACTGGCAGGGAATTGAGTAAGAACCCTTTGAGGCACAGGTATGTGGAACTTACTAGAATCTAAAGTCAGGCATGATAATTGAGAAAACGCATAGGCACCTTGATATTTACAGTGAATATGTTGCAGCAGGACTTCTGTAACTTGGGGAAGAGCCAGAAAGCTGAGCGAGATCTTCCTGAAGTGTAGGCACAGAGGGACGGTGGTTGGCAGAATAATGGTCTCCTAAAGCTGTCCAAGTCCTAATCTTCAGAACCTATGAATATACTATCTTACATAGGAAAAGAGACTTTGCGGATGTAATTAGGTTAAGAATATTGAGACTGAGAAAGTGTCCTGTATTATGTTCACTCATGTCCAACGTCATCACAAGAGTCCTAATAAGTGAAAGATGGAGGCAGGAAATGTCAGAGTCTGAGGAGATAAGACAAGCAGAGGTTTGTGTTGATGCAATTTTGGGGTCTGAAGATGGAAGGGGATTATGAGCTAAGGAATGCAGGTGGCCTCTAGAAGCTGAAAAAAGAAATGTGGTTTTCCCTTGGTGCCCCAAGAAGGAATGTAGTCCTGTTGACACCTTAATTTTAGCCCAGTAAGACCTATGCAGAGATTCACTTGTTTATGACCTTCAAACTGTAAAATATTAAATTTGTATTATTTTAAGCCACTTAAGATTGTGGTAGTTTTTGTTGTTGTTTTTCTTTAGGAGCACTAGTAAACTAATAGAGGCCTGAATAAGTCAGAGGGCAGAGTAAGAGAGTTTAGAGAAATTCTCCAAGCATTCCATATCTTGTATAATATGAGGCAACAGCTGGCTATTTCTGTTGTGGTGGGGTGGGGGCGAGGGCAGCAAGTTTGGGGTGGAGCAGTCAAGATAACTGATAGAGATATTTCCAAGGAGTAAGCACACAGATCTGGTGAAGACTGAGAGAAAAGTAGGAGAAATAAAAAAAAAAAATCCCTCAAGGCACCCAGAACCCAATCCCTGTCACGGGAAAGGTTCTGATTTTGTCATCAAAAAGTTTGAAGTTTATTGTAAATTGAACTTAACTAAAGCTATCACAAAGCTCACTACCAGCTCTATGCAAACCAGAATAAATTATCTACCCCACCTCCTTGCTCCCTGCCATACACAGATACCATTTACAGCCTAGAAAAAGAGGCGCATCTGCCTCTGGGCATAAATGTTATTTACTTCAACCTCTAATGTTATATCATATTTTTATGCTCAAAAGAAATATGAGAAACCTGAAAGAGGAAGAAAATATGATGCTTAGTGTAGTTTATAGTACACAAAGGTAAGCTATAAACAAAATAGTACAAGATTTCAAAATATAAAATATGTGACAAGATTTCAAATGGTGGGAGGATGGTATTTGGATGTGTAGTGTTATAAGTTTCTTACATTGCTTTGAACAGGTATAACACTGTTAAAGACAGATAGTAATAACTTAAAGGTATGTTTTGCAGTCTGTTGAGCAATCACTAATGAATCCCATAAAGTGATGTAACTACAAAGTTAATAGGAGATAAGAGTAGAATTACAAAAAAAAAAAAATTACTGAAAACGGTGAGGAAAGGAGAAAAGGGACAAAGACAGTGGTTAACATAAATTAAACTCCAAGAGGGTAGACTTAAATTTAAACATATGAATAGCTATATTAAATGCAAATGGACTAAGCACCTTAAGTAAAAAGCAAAGATGATCAAATTTGGTAGAAGATGAGCCCAATATCTGTTATTTACAAGAAATACACTTTACAGACATAAAGTTAAAAACAAAAAAGATATCAAATTAAATTGACAAAAATCACAATCATATGCATAGAGTTTCTCCAAATCTATCAAATAAAATCTTGAAGGATATGTCTTCCCTTATTCTCTCTGACTTCAAGTTCCTGCGTCTTTGGGATTAATTAAGTTAATGTGAATCACTTTATCATCTGCAGCATGCTGCCACCTTCCTCGTGATGCTGTAATGTGGTGGAAAAAATCTTTTTTTCTTTACTCGTCAAAAGTAGTAGCATAAAAGGCAATAGAAAGGTATTTTCCCATGGAAGAGTGGTTAGCACTGTTGAATGCTGTTGACAGGCAATCAACGAAGTATGCACATGAAATAGAGTAACAAGATAATTGCTAACTTTGGAGATGTTAGCGGCAGAAACCAAATGTCCTAAAGTTTCCAATTTCATTTGAAATCTTATCATCTGAAATGTTATCATCTTTAAGTCATCTTTAATTTCTCAGGCTACTGAAGTAACATCTGCCTTGGCAATACTCATAATGTAAGCTTATTTTTCACAGTAAGTGAGTATTCTTTCCTATACAGAAGATTAAAACAGTGGCTGTCAAGTCATTAAAAAGGATGAGGGGAGGGGTACACAGAGATGATGGCATCCTAATGTCTGAGAAAGCAGTGATAGGGTGGGGTGAAGGATGGCTATGGGGGGAGGTGACAACATGTCCTAAAAACAAGAAAATGGCAGCAGAGTTGGCTGCAGGTCTGATGGCAGTGGAGGTGGGGGTAGGGTCAAGAAAGTCTGCAGAGTACTTAACAAGAAAGTAGGTGTCAGTGGGATGGCAGGAGATAAACGAGTAAATACATTGAGAATCATGGATATCAGGAGTAGATTTACAAGTACAGAAATAACACTGAAGTAGTGAATTGGAATTGGAGGAAAAGGCGTGAACAGATTTTTTTTAGTACATATTCATGGATACAATGGAATTCATCACTCTTATATACATATATATAAAATTATGTATTATATATATAAATATAAATATATATATATATATATATATATATATAAAATTTTTTCCTTACTTCTCTCTACTGATATGGCCTAGTAGTAATATTGCTGTAGTAGGAATGAGCACACTGAGTATTAAGATCTTT